>NC_000023.11:14258700-14561730 GCF_000001405.40 Homo sapiens | reverse complement strand
ATCTATAAGTTTAAGACTAAATTTATGATTCTCTAGTCTGCAGATATAACTTATGGATGTGATTGAAAAGCTCTATTTGTAACTGGATTTGACAAAGTTATTAATTCCTGGCTGAGCTGTCTTAAAAACTCAGTGCCCTAGTCAACATCATTTTTTTAAGGGGCCAGATATTAAATAGTTTAGCCTTTGTGGGCCACAAGGCCTCTGTCATAACTACTCAATTCTGCTTTTGTAGTGAAAATAGCTGTAGACAATATGTAAATAAATGAGTGTGGCTGTGTTCCAGTAAAACTTTATTTACAAAACAGGTGGTAGGCCAGATTCGGTCTGTAAGCCAACTTTGCCTGGCCCTGCTCCTAATCAGACTAGGAGGCTAGAGAACAACAGGAATTATTATAAATTCCATGGTCTTTCCATAGATGAAATGAGGACTGACCATGGACATGGAAGAGCATAGGGACTGCCTGTAGGACTATCTACAATGAGTTTGATATTGTGCTCTGTAGCATGAACAAAGTCATAGCAGAAAGAATGGATGGGAAATGATGGCCTCGGAGCCAGATGCACTGGAGTGGGCTCAGGTGAAAAACCATCAAGCCTGAATCAGAACACTATTTATCACAAGCGTTAGGAGGTAGTATGGAAGTGAAACAGGGCTAAGCCAGATAATATGGACAACAAATACTTAATATATACGACTCAGTTATTATAATGACTTACATCGCTCATAAACATACATGAGACTTCTGTATTTTGCATATTCAAAACCTAGATAACAAAAATGTTTTCTATTATTCATAATGACTATATTTTAAAACACTTGTTAATGTTATGTGTGTGTATGTATATATATATATGTTTGTATTTACCACAGATTTCTAAGTTCACAATAAATGTTACTATTATTCTTTTTTTTTTTTTTTTTTTTTTTTTGAGACAGGGTCTCTCTCTGTCCCCCAGGCTAGAGTGCAGTGGCACTATCACAGCTCACTGCAGCCTTGCTCTTTTACCTCAGGCTCCCAAGTAGCTAGGACCACAGGTATGCACCACCACGCCCAGCTAATTTTTAAATTTGTATTGTTTGTAGAGACGGGGGTCTCACCGTGTTGCCCAGGCTGGTCTTGAACTCCTGGGCTCAAGCAGTCCTCCCACCTCAGCCTCCTGAAGTGCTGGGATTATAGGCATGAACCACCACACCTGGCCAAATATTATTTTTTGAAAAGCATTGTGATGGATTCTATTTAAAAATAAACATTGGGAAATAATAGGGTATCCTGTGTAACACCAAGACAATTAGTCACTATTTGTTAGTTCTCCTTAGTTATTTCCCAGCGTCCTTTTAAGGTAAAAGCCTACTTGAGAACAGAGGGAAATCTTTGAGTTCCAAGATGGAAATGATATTATTTTTCTCTCTTGTCACAAATAGAAAAAAGTGGCATTTTCACTTTGCAATTTCACATAAATAACTTAATGTGTCTTCAAGTACCACAATTGTTTTAATGTGTGGCCCTTGGATGGGAATAGAATATGAAATATATGGGCTTGACATATACAGAAATTAAATTTCCTTTAGAATAAAAAGATTTTGTCTAGCATAAAGATTCTTGCCATTAGCTCAATAGACAAAGGGGGAAAATAAAGCACACAGAAGAAGCAGGAAGATGTAGAGTTAAGGGTCAGAGCCTTGATATCTGAACATGAGTAAGCACTGTTTCTTATTATGGCTTCCTGCGTTGCATGGTGCTTTGATGCCCATGAAAGAGAGAGCCTTGGAGGATAGGAGGATCACAAGGGAGAGGGAATGACTTTTCTTCATGGCACTCCCTTTATGAGAGAGAATTTAAGTCATTTAATCTGAAAGAATAGAGAAATTTTTTAAATGTCATGATTGTAATTAGAAATGGCCCCACAATCGAGGCGGAGGTTGCTGTGAGTCGAGATCGTGCCATTGCAATCCAGCCTGGGCAACAAGAGTGAAACTCCATCTCAAACAAAAACAAACAAACAAAAAAAGCTGGGTGCGGTGGCTCATGTCTATAATCCCAGCACTTTGGGAGGCCAAGGTGGGTGGATCACCTGAGGACAGGAGTTTGAGACCAGCCTGGTCAACATGGCAAAACTCCGTCTCTACTAAAAAAATACAAACATTAGCCAGGCGTGGTGGCGGGCGCCTGTAGTCCCAGCTACTCGGGAGGCTGAGGCAGGAGAATCGCTTGAACCCAGTGGGGTGGAGGTTGCAGCCACTGCACTCCAGCCTGGTGACAGAGCAAGACTCCATCTCAAAAAAAAAAAAAAAAAAAAAAAAAAAAAAGAAATGGCCCCACAATCTAACCCACTGCCACTGTGCTGTTTTAATCTCCTTGAAAATTCACCGTAAATTATGTATCGATTCTTCTGCTCAACTCATACGCAAATGGTTTTACCAGTCTTACTGCATTCAGCTTGTTTGCTGACATTCCAGGTTTGTGCAAAGGGTAAAACATTCAGAGAAGTAAACATGCTGGATGTTTACAGATTCCCACAGCCTGATGAGACAGCTTTGGACTCATCAAAAACCATTTGCTTTGGACAAGCCATGTTGATAGAAATTAGAAAATTGCCATACAGATGGGTTGTGGTGGCTCACGCCTGTAATCCCAGCACTTTGAGAGGCAGAGGTGGGCAGATCACCTGAAGTCAGGAGTTCGAGACCAGCCTGGTCAACATGGCGAAACCCCGTCTCTACTAAAAATACAAAAATTAGCCTGGCATGGTGGTGGGCACCTGTAATCCCAGCTACTTGGGAAGCTGAGGCAGGAGAATCACTTGAGCTTGGGAGGTGGAGTTTGCAGTGAGCTGAGATCATGCCACTGCACTCCAACCTGGACAACAGAGTGAGACTCTGTCTCAGAAAAAAAAAAAAAAATTCTAGACAAAGCAATTAATTAACACCTAAGGTAGCTTAAATATCAAGAACCAAATAGCATCTTCTGTGAGTCCTTCCCACAAATGGCCACCAGTTGTCAACTGCTCCCACACAAGGATAAGTAAATGGACAAATAAACACATGGCTCAGATACATGTCAAAGGGCTTTGAGAATGCCAGCAAGTTTCTATATTTGCCTGATGTGGATTTCTCCAGTTTAAAGAGAAAAGAGAGAATCCATCATCTCATAAAGAGTGATCACTTTTAAGAGAAAGTGAGTGCTATTAATAATTATACAGGAAAATCAGGCAGAAACCAGGGCAGTCCTGAGAAAACCTGGAATTTGGGTCATACTACTTAAAGATATATTTGAAGTATGGTGGCTACTAGTCTGTTTTATCTTTAACACTAACTCTGATTATTACCACCTGTCAACTTTAAACAGCTGCCAAAAATTCTCTGAGCCTGTTAATTCTGCAGAATAGAAATAATGATGCTTACTTTGATGATAATTGTGATAATTAGTAATAATGTATGGAAGGCATGTAATGGTTCCTTAATAGATCGTAGTTACTGTTATTTATAGTAATGGTAGTAGTATTACTATCATTATTGTGCGTTCATTGGATTGTAAAAATATGCCTGTGTAGGAAATACATTGTCAAACCCATTTTAATATAAACTGAAATCTTGGAGACTACAACTTAGATCTTCCAATATCCTCTATGCCAATCTTTACTGAAATAATGCCCATCTTATCCTATTTCCATTCTCTTTTCTCTGTAAACTTTGTTTTGTTTTGTTTTTTCTTCTTAGCTTTACAGGACTTCTTGGCAGGACCCAACCACCTTTTATACCTTTCTTGTTTCTGGGAATTATGCATAAACATTCTTCATGTCTGGAAAACCCATGTAGCCATCATGAATTTGAGATTATTGCAGCCAGCTTCTTTTTTTAAAATAGGCTTTCTCTACCTTGGGACTATTGGCATTTTGGACTAAATCATTCTCTTTTGTTAGGAGTTGTTCTGTGCGTTGCAGGGTGTGTAGCAGCATCCCCCTCCTCTACCCACTAGATGCCAGTAGCACCACTTCTCCCACACCCCCTGTTGTGACAATCAGAAATGTGTCTAAACATTGCCAAATGTCCTCTGTGAGACAAAATCTCCCCAGTTGATAACCACTAAATTATAAAAAGAAGGTAAAATTGCAGGATGAGTAGGAAGTTTATTTAACAAAGATCACATTTTATGTAATAATGAAATGAGCTTCAGTTTACTCTTCTGCTTCACCAAACAAATGCTAGTATCATATTAAAATATTTCTTGGTCATATGGCTTTCTTATGAAAAAGTCTCACATGTTTCAGCAAAGAGTGTGGATTTTAAAAAATATTTAGAAATACTTTAGGTGGGCCGGGCACAGTGGCTTATGCCTGTAATCCCAGCACTTTGGGAGGCCGAGGCGGGCGGATCACGAGGTCAGGAGATCAAGACCACCCTGGCTAACATGGTGAAACCCCATCTCTACTAAAAATACAAAAAATTAGCCGGGCGTGGTGGTGGGCGCCTGTAGTCCCAGCTACTCGGGAGGCTGAGGCAGGAGAATGGCGTGAACCCAGGAGGCGGAGCTTACAGTGAGCCGAGATCGCGCCACTGCACTCCAGCCTGGGCGACAGAGCGAGACTCCGTCTCAAAAAAAAAAAAAAAAAAAAAAAAAAAAAAAGAAATACTTTAGGTGAAGACATGGCAGTATAATAGAACTTATACTCGTTTGTTGAGTTTGTTAATCAGAAAACTGAATTTGCAGACATTTGCTGAATTCTGTGTATTTTCATGTTACAAATCCTCAGTCGCTTATTAAATCAACAAATATTTATTGAGTACCCATTATGTGTCTAGTATATACTTGGTCTTCTACTACTTATGACCTACAAGTAGATGGTAAATTGTGGTGCTAAATAAAAGAAAATCAGGCATTAAGGACAAGTCAGAAACAATTTGCTGAATAGCTCTTGAGTCACTCTGCAAGAAATGTCAGATGAAACAAAACGTGTCTGCCCAACCAAGCATCACAGAGAGGGCATTTTTACTAAGCCTTTTCTAATACAAGTGAACTGCTGCTTTTTTGTTCATTGCGGGATCATAGTGACCTTAAAGTGAACAGTTTATGTTTTGGGAGATTCAGAACACTTTGCTTGTGGTAACAAGCTTCATTTCCTATTTTAAAGATCTCAGAGGCTAAATGGAACCTTCAGGTTGAGAACAATTTGTAAGAATAATTTACATATATTTCTATTTATGCTATAATAAAATGTCATCAAAGAATTGCTGGAAAACATGGGATTCTTGCTATTTGGGATTGGGGTGAATAATAAATAAAGAGCCATTTAGCCTTAGAAGAAAATGATTTTGAATGCCATTTGGAATTAGTTTTGAAATATAAAGACCTGAGAATTTTTCATGAACCTAAATGACATATCCTTTCCTTTTAGGAAGTAACAAAAATAGAATTAAAGATGACTTTCTCTCATGTTAATTGAATCCTCTACTATGAATAACAAGTTCACCAACTTGTTAGGCCCTGACAAATTGGAAATAGAATTTTTTGCATTAATAATTTTTAAGAAGAAACTATACTATGTTTGGAGTTATGATAATGGAATTGGCTGATAGGATACACACACATATACACATTTGTTTCCAAGTTAAAAACTTATCCTCCAAAGCCAAATGATACCTAATTGATGAAATTTTGCATGATTCTCCCTATATGAATATCATCTTTCCTAGCATTCCTATAACCCTATAACCCTTATCTTATTGTATTATGGTCGACTTTTATATGTGTCTAATCTTTTCTAGTTTGCTCTGGACAGGGCATGGATTTTACCCGATTCACTGTAGTGTTCCCTTGGCACTTAATATAGTACTGAGCACATAGTAGGCATTCAGTAAATGTTCAATAAATGCTATTAATAAGAATATAAGCCATTTTTATGTAAGGAACTTTTAGTGGCATCCCAGGAAATCTGATTCAGAACAACTTTTAAGGCATTTTAACCCAGTTAATCGGCCTTCATTTCTTCAGCTTCAAAAAGTAATTCATTCAAAAAGTAATTCATTTAAATCAAATGTTTAAGCTAAACCTATGAGATCAGAAGCCAATTCTGTTTATCTCTCCAGAGCACTCAACAGAATGAGAAAATTATGACAAAAATATGACAATCACCAATGAGAAACACTGCTACATGCTTCTTCGATACCACTGCTGAACTGCCCTGTTTGAGGTGGGGATCAGGAAAGTCTTAACCGTTGCCCTCCATCCTAACATCATCCTTTACCAGTACAGTATGGCATAATGGAAGAAAATCATAAACTTCAGGGCTAAAAAGACTGGGTTTAAATCCTGGCTCTACTATATACTATTTGTATGACCCTATGTAGGCTACTTAATTACTCTGGGCTCCCATTTCCTCATCTTATAAAAGGAGAAATATCTTCACCTAACTCTCAAGTTCATTGGGAGAACTGAATGAGATAATGTAAATGTGAAATATCAGCTACTTCTTTTCTGTTACCATCTCTTTCCTTCCCCTATCAAGGAAGGATCTTCCTCCTAAACCTTGAGATCTTTTTCTTAACAATCAGATGTACTTTTCTCAAGCATAGTATCTCTGCCCTGCATTTGATTACTCTCATCCCTATACACAGTGTTAAGAAAATGAGCTGGATTTTAAAAGTATAAGTAAGCTCTAGTAAAAAGTCTAATTCCCCCTTATTGGAGAAATATTGCATTATTAAATCAAACGATCGTGAGTGTAGGGAAAAATTATGCTTCAGTAAAAAACTATACATTGTCCATACAGCATACCTTTCAGTGTTATCAGACTCTGATTCTATGGGAGCTATTTTAAAACTCTGCAAATTATATAACTAATAGTAATACAAAATATCCCTTGCTTATAGGTATGGAAATTCTGTCCTGTAGAGGTTCAAGTGACTTCCTTCCCCCACTGTGGAAGAGGCTAATTTTGCCTCCATTTGCACATTTATTTCAATATTTTTATCTATAGATGTGTCTGTTCTTTGAGGTTTTTTTTGAACTGATTATACCATCTGCCTGGTTCCCTCATTGACTAATGAGTTAAATAAAATCTTTAACATGTATTAATTATATAACTGTGTAAGAGTCATGATTTTACCTTATTTTGGAAAATTATTTTTTCATGTGAGGTTTTTAAAAAAGAAAGAGATTATTGCTCTTTGGACATCTTGGGCTCAGAGCCAAGCTTTAGCAGCTTGGAGACCTAAATCCTGTTCAAGGCCACTGCACTGCCAGGCAACCCAGCACTTTCTATTTAGCTGTCAAAAGAGATCTTAAAGCACCATGTCTGCCAACGAATAGTACCTAAGCTCTCATTTCCCTCCTCTGTTCCTCTGTGGCTTCCACAAATGGGGACTTGTTTCTTCCTTAGGCATTCTGCACCATTTCTCTGAGGGTGGGAAGGTCACTACAGTACTGTTAGGAAACAGGTTTTCTATGTCAGCAAGAGGTCTAAAAATAGAAGCCAGAGCTTCCGATAATGTACTCTTCTCTACTAACAACTAGGACAGCCGCCTTCCCACTGCAAAGGGAAATCCTGAAATCATGGTGCTTGTTGTGTTTACAAGTGCTCAAATTTGACTGATAGGCTCCCAGCACTTACGTAGCATAGCACTTCCACGTTTTATCTCATGCTACACTATGCATCTTTGTAATTCAATTTTATTAAAAGGACATTTATTGAAGTCCTTCTGTATATTGGGTGCTTACGTAGTTTGTGTTCTCCTCGAGTCAAGGATTTAGGTGAAAGTCATTTGTTAGGGATGTAAGTAATATGCTGGATGAGACGTCGGGAAGTAAGACAGGTTAGGCAAACAATAAAAGGTGTGTTAATAAGTCCATTATTTTCTGATGGCAAATGAAGCCTTGTCCCATGAGCAACTCTGGAAGCCAGTATAGAAGGACTCCTCAGAGCTATTCTGCCCAAGGGGAGAAGGAGCTGGTGTATGTTAAATTGATTTCCACCAGTCATTGGATGAGAGTACTCTCAGGAGACACTAATTCACCTTTAATTCTGGTCTGCCACAAGGGTGGGCAAAATGGCTTGGATCAGAGAATGCCCTCAACGAAGAAATGCAGCTGCTACCATGTAGAAGTCAGGTTGATGTGGTAAGGGACCGGGGATATGGGAAAGACACAGACACTGATGCCTTGTAAGCTCCTGGGAATACCAAAATGTACTGAATCTTTGCATTAAAAAAAAGCCATCATCTATCAAGGCAGAAAGACATGGATTAGACTAATTACAATGTCATGTGATAATAACAATAGTGTTTAAGGGAACATGGCAGAGGAGGCAACAAATTGTGCATGAGAAAAAGAGAAAGGGAAAGGAGAGCAGAGGTTCTTTGCAAGGGATTGATGTATCTCTTCATGTGCAGAGGAGGGGGAAGATATGGCTCTATTTCATAGTGAGTATATATCACTAGCCAAAGTATAATCAGCAATTGAAGGCTGAATCTGCATAATTGCTCTTTATTGCATATCCTTTCTCTGATTTGAAGGCCACCACATTTTGTATTGTTAGACAGTCTTGAGGTGATGGAGAAACTGTTCTATGTCCGGATTTTGATATTACATATTTCTACCTCCATCTCAATGTGAGACAATCTCTGATAATAAGCCGAATACGGTTGTCCCTCCAAGATTGAAGAAGCCACACGGCCTCCTCTCATTCATCATAGTTGAGTTCACACTTGAAATTGAGGAGGTCATTCTCCCACTAGACACCATCATTGCCTGTGTGCTCATGATAATAGACAGTGACATCACCTTGGGACCTTGAGAGGGTTATAATTTGAGGACATGAGAGTTGCTAATGAAACAGAATAGGGTTTTTACCCATGATCTTTTCATGCTAGAGACAAGGTTTGTTGAGGCTTTAAAGAGTCTCTAATTTTGTGTGTTGTACCAGACACAATAGAGCAGTACTATAGAAAAGCAAGCCCTCTGATGAGAAATGGCCTCATTCTCCTACCCTCAGGCAATGGAGGTAGAAGGTCTGCCAGGTCAAAGGGGAAGAATCCTACTAAGAGTCTTTTGGGGTATTGGCTTGGGTTGATGCATACCTCTCAAAACATTCATCTCCAGTCATATGACCTGTATATTTGCAAACGCAGACACGATTAGCCTGCCTAGGCCACCATAAGGTGTAGTACAGTTGCTGAGTATGTGGGCCTCAGCACCAGACTGCCTAGATTTGACCAGCTTCTCTGTCTCTCACAGCTTGCCAGCTCTAAGGATTCTGAACATTAGCTTCTGGATTTGGAAAAAGGATATCGTTAACAGTAGTACTTATCAATTTTGTAGAGAACAAATGAGAGCATGCATATGACACACTTAACATGTTGTTGGGCACATCATGAGGAACACATTGCCTTTGCATACCCCACCCATACTCCAAGTCTTCACGTCATTTTCCACCTCTTCCTTACACTTCGGCCATTATCAATTCCCCTTATTCAGAACTTCTAATCTCCATGACATAATTCCATATATAGCTGTACAATTATATAGAGAGGAGTTGGCTTCTGTTGCTCAGACTTGTTTTATGTCTGTTATTTCATTTGCTGAGGAAGATGATGCATTGCTAAAGGACAAAAGTTGCCTGTCACTGCTTCTGTAAGTTCTCAAAGTTGCTATACGTTAGGCACATCATAAATGTCCCTCATAAATACTTTGTAATTAATTTGTACCTTACTACAAAGTTAACTTGAATTTGTACATAAGCAGCAAGTACTTCCTCTGCTTAAGAAAAGAACAAGTAAATTATTTCAGAGAGCATTCTCCTTAGTTCTGAAGGAACATCATCCCAGCAAGCAGCCCCCAGACTTTTCCCTTTCCTATTCCCTGAGCAAGCTTGGGCTCTTCATGTGTGTTGGAAAGTAATAAGAGAATAAATTATAGACTTCATGTCTCAGACTTACAGTTTTCTCTCACTATGCCCAAATGATTTGAGATTGTTAAATGAAAACATTCCTAGGGTCCGGAGAAAAACTCTATTTAGAAGCAAACTATAGGACTAGATAAAATCTCATATGAAAGGGCATGTTTTTGGTATATCATAGCATTTTCTTGAAATATGTTTAAGTACATCACAAATTTGCACTCAAAGATGTAAAAAAAAGTTTACAAAATGCCGTTAGTCAGAGACAAAGTCATGTAATGTGTAGCCCATGGAGGAAGTAGTCCCTGTATCTCTTCTGTTTTCCTTAGCCACCAACTGTTCTTTACCATACCTCCACCCCACGATCTACAATCTAGTTCCAATACATCCCAAGCAGAAAGCTGTTGGGTGATTGGAGAGAAATCATCTTTGCTCATTCATTTGATTATTCATCAAATATTTATGGAGGATTATTAATGTGCTCAAATCTGAGGATGTAAAGTTAAATAATAAACACATCCTTAGGCATGCCTCCAGATTCACAAGCCCCTAGCATGGCTGTAATTAAGAAATGATTATAGGCTTGGTGTATAACAACACAAATCTTTAAGGTTTTTACTATCCCACTAATAGCACTGAGGGCAGACTCATGCTAGACTGCCTGGAATCAAAAGCCATTTCTGCACTCTTACTAGCTGTATGACCATAAGCAACCAAATACAATTTCTGTTCTATTTTGTAATCTGTGAAATAGGGATGATAATAACCTTCTCTGTAAGGTTATTGGAAGGATTAAATGAGTTAATATGCAAAGTGCTTAAATGCTTGACACATAGTAAGGACTCATTAATATAAACCAACAATGTTATTATTAACAATTTCTGAGTTCCTACAATGAAAATGGTGTGAAATATACGCATGGGTGCAGTGAGGAATAAAGCACTGGCTAAGAAGTGAGCTGATGGATAACTTGGACACTAAGTCCCTTTACTTCTGTTCATCTTTTGTCTGAGAATTGTGCATAATACCTTCTGGCTTGATCTTCTGGGACATATGTTTGAAATACATAAAATATCTTCCTACTCAATAAGCCAACTGAGAAGTATAAATTTTTTTTAGAAAAGTCTGTTTTCATGATGTGTTTAAAATTTTTAAATGCTTTTTGAATCTTTGTGGTCTGTCCTGGCGGCAAAGATGGCAGGTATCAAAGCATCAAGGGCCTGATGCTCTTTTTTAGCTTCATGGTGACTGTGCCCAGGACCAGCCCATGCTTGTGGCAGCAGCCCTTCTGTGGCAGATGACAGAATACTACTTCACCAAGAAAATACAGATCATTGGATGTGAACTTATCTGACTACCTTCCCCTCCACCTGTAAAACTTATTATCAGAGTAAGGAAATGGTATTCCTCCTTCAGTGCAAAGGTAATCTCTTCATCTTCCTTATGAGATTGATTCCTCCTGCTCCTTCCAGAACTCTCCTCCATCAATTATCCTCTATCTCACTCGTACTTTCAGTCTCCCTTTCCTTTATTCTACAAATGTACCCTTCTCATCTTAATTTTAAAAAAAAAAAAACCTCCTTTCCCTCAAATTCTGTAATCTAGTATTCAATCCCTCTCTTTCTCTTTGGCACCAATCTTTTAAACGATAAATCTACAGACTTACTTTTCCCCACTTTCTCAAATCTCATTTACTCTACCAACTCAGTATGGGCTTTTGTATCACCACTCTAGGGAAATTGGCCTTGCTAAGGTCAAAAATGTCCCAGTGGTCAAATCCAATGACCTCTCTTGTTCTTTCTACTCAACATTCCTGCTGCACTTGTCGTGGTTGCTTTCCTCATCTGCAAAACTCCCTCTTCCCTTAATATCAATGACTGCATCTCTTTCTGGTTCTCCTCCAGATTTTCTAACCACTCTTTCTCTGTATCCCTTGTTGAGTCCTTCTCTTCCTCTTATTCTTTCAATGTTCATGCTCATGGAAATCCTATTCTTATTCATCTTCTATATTTATTCTACACATTCTCACTGGGTGATCTTAGCAATACTGTCATTATATGATGACTACTATTCCTACATTTATAGCTCTGGTATCTGTTCTTGGCTCCAGATTAAAATTTTCAACTGTAGATTAGATATCCTCGTGTGTCCCTGACATGAATAAACAAAATCACTGTCTGCTCAGTTGCTCAAAATGGAACCTTGAGTCAAACATTACTCTTTCTATTGTACCCGCTACATCTTGTCTGATGCAATTTTACCTTAAGTTTATCTTGTGAATCTTGCCCGTTTTCTAACCCATTGCCACTCCCTAAGCCCAAACCTTCATCATCTCTCTTTTGTGGATGATTGTCCTGGAACCCTGGTCCCTTACCTTTTTCGTATATCCTTTGAAAGGTATCTTGAGTTATCTTCTTAGAAATCTTATGTAATTATGCTCCTCTTCTGCTTAAAAACCTTGATTGCCTTCCTGTTACCTGTGGTTAAATCTATGCTTCAATAATCTTCTTTACATTCTGGCCTTAACTAACTTTATTCTGTAGGCTTATCTTCTATGATTTATCCCTTTCACTTCCTCTAGAGATACTCATCTTTTATTATCCCCCAAACTAGCAATGTTCTTTCCAGACATGGACAGTTCTCTATCTGAAATTCCCCTTTTCATTCATTGAACACCTATTTGCTCTCAATACCAAATTCAAGTACCTCCTCTTTTATAAAGCCTAGAGCTACTTCTTTTTCCTCCTCAGTGAACTGAGTTCTCCTGTACCACGGGCCCTCTAGAGAAAAATAAAGGTCATCACTATTAGTGGATACCTTAGTTAGCCCCCCTAGTCTTTTGTAAAGATTTTTGGTTCACTGCCTCATAATCTGGGAGAATCCTGTACTTGAGAACTACTCAATTTTTTTGTAAAGCTGGAAGATGAAGCTCAAGAGGAGAATTTCAGAAGATGCCCAACCACAGACTCACTGGTTGGAAGGAAGTATGGGCCATAACCATGAAGTGAACCTGAAATTACTTTAGCAGTCAGAACTCCCTGGCAATTCAGGTATATCCAATATTATCAACATGTATGATTTATGCGCCTTTGGTTTTATTTACTGAACACTGCAGACACTGAGTAGGAGAGTGCCTTAGGCCAGGGATTCTATTTGGATAAGTTAGATGTCACTATCCATCCATGTTCGGTATTAGGCATGGAAAAGAAAACTTTTTATAAATGGGATATTGGTACTGAAATAGTGGTAAAGTAGAAGAAGGTGGGATAGTAAAGTTGCAGGTTAGAATGCTGATAAGTTAACAATTCTCCTTTGAATCACCCTCTACTTTGTACTTAGCGCAGTGTCCTATGCATAATAAATGCGTGATACATGTCTACATGTAAATAAATCCACTTACTCAACATTAAATATTTATTAAGCTCCTAGATAAACAGAAAGTGCACAAAAACCTGGGGCTTCAAAGATAAATTCAATTCAACCTGTAATAGAAAGGGCAGCAGCTGTGTTACAAATATATTCAATAAAGTATTGCAGATGGGGAATGAGTGTCCCTGTTGTCATTTTCTAATGACTTATACTCCCCTCCATCCTAGGTTATATATAAGGAAAGGTAGTGTTTGTCCAAGTCCTATTTGGCAGCAGGATAACTTTTTCTTCCCCTAAATAACAAGAATGATAAAATTCTGGCTGTTTTCTATTCAAGAAAATGCAGTGAGGAGTCAAATGAGATGATACATATGGAGGGACTTCATGAATTTTAAGTGAATCACAATAATTAGCAGATAATAATAACTTAGTTCAGTTCTTAATATTCAAGTTTGCATTGGTACAGATTCTGAGATTAAGGATTAGTGTTATCAATTTTTAAATTTACTTGATAAATGTCTATTGACAACCTACCTACTGTCACGTGTTGGAGATACAATGTAGAATGAGATAAGCTCAATCCTAACCTTCTTGAACTAGTCTAGGATGGAAAGAAATAGAGAAGCAACTAATCACAAGATAGACTCTAGACTGAGCACGTAGGAAAGGTTGGGATTTGTAGTTTAAGAGAGGCTTTCTAGAGGAAATGACATTAACCTGAAGTCAGAGTAGAGAGTAAGCTGTTGGAAAGGCAGGGATGGTAGAGAGAAATGCAAGTGCCAAGCACCAGAAATAAAAGGTTTGAGGAATGGCAAATGGGGCATCGAGGCTGGAACATAGAGTGGGAAGGTGTGGCTTGAGATGTGGAATGAAGATGTTGAAATTGACAATATAGATGCTTGGCTTTCCCACTTCTTTGTCTCATTTCCTCACTCTCTTATATGTCTCCCCTGATTGCTTATTCTTAATAAATCTCTTTTGCACAGGGTCTGCTTCTTGGAAACTCAACCTCAGACAGATGTAGTAAAGAACCTAAACACAGAGATCTTTGTGAGACATGTACAAGTGCAAGCACTTTATCCAAAAATGATGAGAAGGCCTAGGAGAGTTTCAAGGGTCATGAGAGACCTAGAATATCAAGGATACTAGTATTTTGAGCTCTGCACTCCCTTGGGTGACAGCTCAGCTTCCTTTTTCTGTGCATTCAGATAAAGATATAGGCAATCAGGCACCCCAGAGCAGCTGCACTATGGATTTTCTAAAAAAAGTACAGGAGTTTATTTTTGATCTTAGCTTTCCTTTAGGATCTATTTATTATGTCATCTTTATTTCTTTGCCTTCTTTGCACCTGCCACATCACCCATCTAAAGTCAATAATATTTTTTAAAGGTGTCATTCTGTGATGTATATAGCATATTACATGATGTCACTGATGGATACTTTTTGTTAATACCCTCAAGTGCTTTGCTCTATCACTGAAGCAGATAATTTATTCTGGCATTTATATGAAAAGTTAGACACTGAGAGGGTACCTGCTTATTTGAGACTTTATGTATGCATGGTTTATTATGGCACATATTGTTAGCACATGGCTCCAAATTTTTATGTAATAATTATATTCTTTTCAATATGTGGGGGAATGAGAGAGGCCCCATGATGAAGGAATAACTCAATCATGAAAGCTTCACATGTCAATCCACTCTTACTGAGCATCACAAAGATTCCTTCAGCCAAACTACAGTGCTGTTAACTATACATTGGCACCTCTTAAATGAACTCATTCTGGGAGATGGAGGTGCTATAGAATACTTTTTACCCAGGAGCCATTTGCAAACCCAGTTTCAACTGTAGGCAGAAAAAAAAAAAAATCCCACGTGTGTAATTATCCTATTTGCAGAGCTGGTTGACAAGTAGAATCGTGGAGTTTTCTCCTTGAGATAAGTGTATTCTTTTGCCAAGGAAATCTTTTTTTTAATAGGGTTTAGGATATTTGCCCCAAGTCACAAATTCATACACTCTGCGGAAAGCCCTGCATGTTATAAACTTTGTTGGCATTCAGGAGATCTATGGAACAGGAAGCCGCCTGCTGGGTTTTAAGTGGGAATATTTGCTCAGAATATTTGATTAAAGGATGCACTTAAATGAGGCATATGTGCATGATAAACAAACGTGAGTCAGAAACTTGGGGGAAATAAAAGGAACACATATTCCAGACTGTGGATAATTCCTTTTATGTTGGGAGAGCTAGAGAAATACATCTGATAATATAGGATTAGTTTGATAAAGATCAGGTTAAGCATGCCACTGGTTACAGAGTGGGCACGGATTCTAGGAAATGAAATGGTAATATTTCAGATAAAATAAATACTGAATAGTATGGCAACCTTATTAACAAACTGTGACCTTAGATTTTGGAGAGAACAGGTAGCCTGGCATTCATCTATTTAAAAAGGCCTCTGAAAAAAGTGAAATTTTCAGTGCCAGGGCTTCCTATTCACAAGGCATGACCCTGGGCATATGTAACATTTCCTTTCAAACAGGGATGATGTCTTAAATTTTTATATTTTGGGAACACACTGTATATACTTCCTTTGGAAAGCAAATCTCAGGATTCCAAAGAAAATCTTATCCTCTTGTTCATATTCCTTGACATCTATAACTAATAATTCAGCAAAGCCACCTTCTCATACCCCAATATCTAATGACACCGTCTGTCCCTTGGAAATGGAGAAGCTGTGACCCTGGAAGCAAATGATAGCAAAGGATCTAAGTCAGGCACTCAGATTATATAAAACAAAATTTGAACTCAAAGTAAGCAAATGTGTGCATGCCCAAATAACTTCTTTATAGTTAACCTTTATTCAGTTCTTCTTCAAGATGCAGTGTATCTAAGACTGCCAACCTCAATCAAAAGACAAACTTAATCAGTGCTGTGGTTTTAATGTGTCCCCCAAAGCTCATGTGTTGAAAATTTAATCCCCAATTCAATAATGTTGAGAGGTGATGCCTCTAAGAGATGATTAGGTCATGAGGGCTGTGCCCTCATGAATGGATTAATGTCATTGTCATAGGAGTGGGTTAGTTCTCACTGGAATGGCTTCCTGATAAAAGGATGAATTCAGTCCCCTTCCCCTTCTTCCTTATGCCCTCTTGCCCTTCTGCTTTCTACCGTGGGATGATGCAGCAAGAAGACCCTCGCCAGATGCAGACTCCTCAGCCTTGGACTCCCAAGCCTCCAGAACTGTAAGAAATAAATCTCGAATCTTCAAAATTACCCAGTCTATGGTATTCTGTCATAGCAACACAAAATGCACTAAGACAATTGGTATCCCATTATCTGTGGGCTGTACAGTGGAATACTAGCAATGCTAATGTCATCACTGTGGATACTTTGTCTCAAATAAAGGATTAGTTTGATATAGAATGTGTAGGGGCTCCATCACCAATGTGTTTTCACCTAGTGTGTAAAATAAATGACATGAATCAGGAGCCATTGATTAAGTCTGAGGTGGCATCACTATTTCCCTACCCCTACTCCGTTATTTATCTCTTCCTAAGAGCTTGGATTGAGAAGAAGGAAGAAAAAAAATCATGCTTGCTTACTTGACAAACACTCTCAGAGAAAGCATGGAGGAGGAACTAGTAATTTAAAAGTATATATTATATTTAAGAATATCTATATATAATCATCCTTTCCCCAAGACATTTAGTGATATTTCAAAGACATTTCATTTTCTGCATCCATCTTCATTGCAAACAATTTTCAATAGTTTTTCCTTGGAATTTATATATTGAAGTATATGAAACATTATCATTTTTAAACAGAGAAACTTAGAGTGATTTAATACTAATAAATAGGAAGTTAATCTTAAATCTGCACAAGTTAAGATAAATATTGCATAATTTCAATTTTAAATGAGATTTTTGGTATAGATTTAAATTTTTAAAATTTCATTGCAAGGAAGTGATGGAAAAACTATTCTCAGCAAATGAGTGGAAATTGCACAACTACAAGATTTACCCATTTTTTGAAAGCTGCCTGAGAAAGAAGATAGCAATCCAAAAGAAAATTCTTCATACAGGTATGAAACTTTGTCATATACTGCTGAAGAAATATCTCTAATTCAAGGTTAAAGGTCACTTGTTTAAATGTATATATTTGTCAGCTTTTGTAAATCATAAAGACTAAAACAGTAGGTGATTATTAGATCCAAGTATTTTGATGTATTGACTAATTTCTTTTCTCTATGCTTTTCAAAATGCCACTGTTTGTTTATTTATTCATGTAGATGAAGCAGGAGAAAAATAGACTGCAATAATATTCTAACTTGTAGAGTAATTCTCTTGTGGCATCATAATGCTAATGTTGACCATGAATCAAAATGAAAGCCTCATTTACTGAATGCTGGGCCCTTCTCACTCTTATGAATATTCTCTTTCTGGCAAATTATTATATTTTATGTATGTTTAAGTTCCCCATCATCTATTTTCATGGCAAAATTTGTTTAGGTTTCTGGATTTTACCAAAACTACATTTTCCAAAATATTCCATAAAACACTGGTTCTCCAGGATGTTACTCATGATAAGGAATCTGTGATCAAGTGAATATCAAGCAAACCCCTGTGTAAAAAAAAGTTTTTAAAATATTTATTTGTGTATTTATTTTTACTACATATTTTCTCACAACTTTTTAATATGCTAATGGATATTAAGTCTCTCTCAGAGGATGTTTTGCAGAATTTCCTATACTTATTTTACATTTAAAAACTTAGAGAACATTTCATGGACTACAGTTTTGGGAAACATCTTTGGCCAGATGCTGAATTAAAGAAACTTGGTAGCTACATTTCCCAGAAGCAGCCTTTGTACATGAATTTGCTACCTCCAAACCAAGAGCAAGGCAAAAATTGTAATAGCTTATTTCTTCAGTAATCTCCTCATAAGTTTCCAGGGTCTTCCCTGCAATAACAATTCTGAATGAAATACTGGGACTTGAAATAAGGTAGAGACAACTGTTAAAAATGCTGGACAGAATTAATAATTTCCAAGAAAGGAAACATTATCTAGGAAGATTGGGTGCATCCAAGTTCTCTGGGTGAGTCAACAATTTACAAAAGGATATACCCAAAGATATTAATTTAGACTATTAGAACCAGGGACCATCAAAGTTAGAAGTGAAGTAGAGAGACATCTTGTTCTAAGTCCTTTTTTTTTTTTTTTTTTTTTTTTTGCAGATGACAAGAGTGACTCCCAAAGAGGTTAAGTGGCATGCTCCAGGTCATAATTGTCAAAACTGGAGTTAAAATCAGGCCTCATGAGTCTCGATTTAGATATTTTTTTCTCTTGTGGGATTTTCCCCCTTCATTTCGTAAAACAATATAGGCACATAGGATCTTGGGAAAAATACTATAAAGAAGGTATCATCCTTCTGATATAAGGGCAAAAATGTCTTATTCTAGTCCTGTAGGTCTTAACCTGTAGGGAGTAATGACTTTGTTAAAGTTGTAAACTTAAAATCCTAAGCCCCTACTGACTGAATGGGCCCTCTTGTAGCCAAGGGGACTCCAGAAAAATCTTAAAATTGAGTTCCCAGCCACAATGGGACAGGAGGTTAGACACAACTCATTATACCTCCTCTCTTTTGGCGTTTAGACACAACAACTGACCAGCACTAATGTTAAAGTAGAGATCATAAGACTGACAGAACAGACTCTTTGTGGCAATGAGATATGAAATTATATACAGGACCTGAAACCATGCTAGGCAAGGGGTAAATCATGCACCCCTACACTTAAAGAATAAACTATGTTCTAACTGCCACAGGGTTTTTTTTTTTTCTTCTCTAGCAGTTAAATAAGGACTGGTCTCAAGATAAGCAATATTAAAACAATTACAACTCATCCAGTTCACAGATGCTAACTGATCCCCTGTTCCATCAACCATAACTACAGCTTTGACCGGACAAGAGACTGATGTCAGTAACTTTCTCCTAATAAGAAGACCACCAACCATGGACTGATGATTCTGGCTGGTTTAAAGAGATCACTCTTGCATGCCTCTGTGTCCTAAAAAGGCCTTTTGACATACAGGCCCTAATTGTAAGACATTTAAATGTTAAGTCTCCACCTCAAAGTGAACATGGGTTGTATGTTACATGCATGTTTGCTTTATACACATGCATCAGAACCACCTTTGTGAATATTCGTAGCCTTCTATAACCTGTTGAATATGTATGTTTAGCCAACCTGTTCAACATAAAGCTCCTATACCAACCGTTCCTCCTTTGAAGTGCCTGTCTCTGGTCTTGTCCAAAGACATGCTTCCCAGGCTGCAGGATGGTCACTTTGCAGACTATAACCCTTTACAAGAAATAAAGTCTCCTTTCCTTTTCCAAATTTATAGATTTAAGTTGACAAAATGAATACTCCAAGATCCCATCATCCATATATTCTGTAGATGGAGAGGTGTGGGGCCCAGGATTTGCCTTTTTAACCAGACTCTCAGGTGGCTTTGAATCAGGTCTTCTGAAAAACATGGCTTGAGAAACACATCTGGTTGGTTGTTAATTTGTTTTAGTATTAAATCCTAAATCCTTTGATTTGGCATACTATATACAAACTTATGTAATAAACCAGAGTTAATTCAAAGGAAAAAGTAGAATATGAGAAATCCATTGTCAGCACCGTACATTATATTTATAAATTTTCCTGAATCACATAATCTAACTTAAGTTTGGTTTGCCAAATGTGTGCCTCATTCACTTTTCAGAGACTCTGAGATTCAAATATAAATAAACGGATCCCTTGTTTTCTGAATACATTTATTTGGGTGGTGGGAAATGGGCAAAATGCTTTTTCTAATAGAAAGCCTGATAAAAGAAATCTTGACTGTCTTGTTGGTCATGAAGTGGTTATTAGAAATCAACATCTTGAAGTATTTAAATGCAAATAAATTAGAAGAAGATACATTGTATTACCTTCTGTGTATGTTTGGTTTAAAAATGAAGTAAAAATTGTGTGGTAAAGTAGTCCTGGGCTTTTCCTAACGTAGGAGAATTGCCAAGATGAGTAGCTGTATTTCAAGTGTGATAATCAAACCAGCCAAGGAGTGGGAAATGAGCAACTGTTCCCAGAACTCTCCATTTCCTGGAAATGCACACTACTCTGCCCCTGGTCTTCATGCCTTTTTAACCCCTTACCCAATCTTTTCTTCTAACACCCTTTCTCAAGGTCTATGCAGAGCAGAAGAGCATGAAGGGAAAGAATTTATCTCAAAAATGCTTCCCCAGAGAGACTTGGCATTAAATCTTCTGCTCAAATCCAAACCCACAACACATCCCAGCATGGGGAGCCTGGAGGGAATTACTGTAGGGACAAGCACATTAATATTAGCAAATATGTTAAATCAGACAGAAAGGAAACTGTATTAATTATTTTCGTAAGCTCCACAGGAAGATCTCTCTTTTTTTTTCTCCCTCCGCGTCTCTCTCTATCCCTTGCTCTCTTTTTCCTTTCTCTCTTTCTCTCCCCTCTGTCTCTTCCTGTCTCTCTCCCTTTATTTCTAGTGCCCCCTCCCTTTCCTCCCCACCTTGCACCCTCCCCAGTTCCGTCCTTCTTTCTCTTTCTCTCGCACACACGTATACTCCAATCCATTTATTGCACCTCTTCCTGTTTTCTATTTAGGAGACAGAACAATCACATTACACTATATTTCTCTCTCTTCTCTGCTTTTGGGGATAGCACTTATCTATTGGGATAATATATCCAAATGGTCTCCAGACTGATCAAAGAAGGCTTACTAAATTTGTCATCAGTGTTGGAGATGTCTGCTCAACCACCTGAATGGTAAGGGGTGAGTTTGCTCTTAAGTTGACATTTGTGCTGGTTGTCTTCCATTTCCCCACCCCAACCCCTCTCTTCTCTTCTATTCTCTGTACCCTAGGAAACTGTCCTTCAGGGTTTGTATCAATGGGCTCCCTTGCTCTCTGACTGTTAGTTGAATCTGGCTAATGAAAGGCTTCCACAGGAGAATGGAAAACAGGAGGAGGGCAAGGTCTGGATATTTATTCCCAGGCTTACTTCCTGCTAGGATAGCACAAATTGACTACATTCCTCCACAGGTTTCATTAGGTGACCCTTCTGTATAGCTGCCTTCACCAGGTTCTGGTAATCACTCCCTCCCTTGCTTCTTCAGTTCTGTTGATAGTCCCAGAATACTACACTCTCCCTTTAAGGGTTGTTTTTTTCTCTCACACCATTGAAATGTGTGGTCTCTTTCCTGCAAATATCCTGGATAATAAGCATTCAACCTACAAATTATATTCCAGTTTTTATTTAAGTGAGATAGTAATAGTAAGAACTGACATTTAAAAGCTTAAATTTCTATTTACCACTCTATACTTAGCACCTAACAATGGTACCTGGCACATGGTGACTAGTCACTAATTATTTATTAAAATAATTAACAAATTAACTGTGTTTTTAGACTCAACTATAAAGATGTAAAACCATTACATGTAATTCTTTGTGCCTACATTTATGCTCCCTTGCCACAAATTTATTCTATTGCTTTGACAGTGCATAGGCAAGTGTGGCTTTTCTTCCCCACAAGAAAATATGTTCCACCATCATCAGAAAAAAAGAAAAAATAGAAAACAAGACTTATCCAGTCATATATATACTTCACAGATAGGTGAAGATGCCTTTTCTCAAATGATAATTGCCTATGGACTTTTCATACTTTTACTGAATCCAGAATTTATTTTGCCCTTTGGATGAGTATACAGAGCCACTATTTGGTGTATCATATTAATAATGGAATGGTGGATACACAAACCATAGCATGAGTCAAAGAAAGGGTCCAGCTTCTCTCTTGTATTTACCTCATAACCACTTTGGTTGGCTGGCCAAACTAGACTCCAAGTGAGTAACCTGGTGACTTTGTTCTTACATGTACTGCACACATTAGAATATCCATTTGAGGCCTATGCCTTTTGCTCATATGCTCCCTTTAGTGGCTTCTGCATGGCTGAAAGTGTCTGTAGTCAGTCATAAGTGTGCAGAGTAGCTCTCTCAGGAAAGAAATCAATGAGCAAACGCTTCATACAACAGTCAGGACAGCATCCTAGGCGTTAATTCCAAAGGGAGCCCAGAATGCTTCCAAAGACCTTGTTATTGAGGCTTCGTCAAACATAGTTACATTTTTAAGACCCTGTTCCACAGTGTCTGAGCAACACACCAAGAAAAATATCCAACACCATCAAGAACAAACTAATGACTTATTTTTTTTCTCACTCTAAACCTAACTGCCCCAACTGAACACATTATACTGTCCATTCATTGAGCACCAAGAGACCTGAATATTGATGCCATTTAAGTCTCAGATTATCAGCAAAATTGACTGAATTATCCTTCAGGATGTGGAGGACCAGCAAGGTCTATAAACTAAGGATAAAATATTTAAGTTCATTCAATAATGAAAATTAAGGATATGGGGTCGCCCAGAATCAACCAAGGAGCAATGCAGTACTTTCTCAAAGACTAAATTATGGGCTTCCATTTCTGGTACGCTTAACCTGCCATGTTGTGAGACCAAATGCTCTCTTTTAAATACTAATTCTAAAATAGGAAATCATCTCAGTACTATTGTGCAGTGAACCTTGCAACTATAGTAACTGGACAAGAAAATACATCAGAAATGGCAGTCATATTATCTTCAGTTAAATTTAAGGTCCTCCTTTATAGGACTAAGTTAAATTTGTTCTATTTCTCTTATTTGGTTTATTTTTTAAAATGAGTCCAAGAAAATAATCAGAGATGGGATTTGAATGGGTAAAGATAATTCCTTCCCACAAATGGCTCCCTCATTGTTTTATATTTAGGAATATGAAATAGCCGTTTCAGGTTGGAAATTTCCCCACTGAACTAATATAAGGAAAACCAACTGAGGCTTATGACCTCTACATTATGGTTACTCTGGTAGGAATCTAAGATGCCCGAATTTCTCTAACTTGTTTCTTTCCATTTAGAAAATCAAGCAGCTGTTTTCACAATACACAGTAAGTGTTGGCTATGAAAGAAAAATGGTGGAATTGCAATAATAACTCAAATTATCTGTATAATAGTAACAGTTGAAAACAAATAATTCATGCTCATGATATCATTTGATCCTCAGTACAACCCAAGTGAGGTAGGTAAAGGCAGAAGAAAACCTGAGGCACAGATAGGTGAAGACATCTTTTCTCAAAAATGGCTGAACCAGAACTTGAACCTAGGTCTTCTAGATCCAAGTTCAGGGCTCTTTCCACTATACTACCCTGTCACCATGGAATGAAAGACATGCTGACAAACTTATTGCAATATGCTTTACCAGGGTGCATTAGAATGCTGTAGATGCCCTCTTGATGCCACTTCAAATCCCTGAAAAACCTTGTGGGTCCATAGTAGGAGCCTAGTATATACAAATGTGTTGTTTGGTGTTCATACAGCACACAAAAGCTGTATGAACACCAACCAACACATTTGTATAATAAATTGTGACACAGCCAGTGATTTTTGATGTTCAAAAATCTTCATCAATATTGTCTCTGAATGAAACTATCATATATGTTTCCCTTTGTTACTCCCAGCCTTTCCTTTCAATAAGGAAACAATATTTTATTTCCTTATTGATAATGTTTTATAATGCCTTGTTTTATAATGCCTTGCACCATCAATATTCTTCCCCAGTGCCAGACTACAACCAAATACTCTCATTCAAATTATGGAGTAAAATACTAATTGGGCTTACTGTCATTTCCATCAAGTAGTTTTAATATGAAATAAAATCTTTAATCCAAGAACAGAAGCAACAGTGCTGTAATTTTAGCCATTATAATAGCAAGCTAGGTTAGAATAGTTATTGGACAAGGGATTTCTTTCAAGGGCTTGGGTACTATTGAAATCAGGCCACGTGCATGTTACTGCACTTAAAGTAAGAGTGACACTGACTCTAATCTGCCACCATGGACCATACTACCCAAGAGAGGCGCTTCCTTGAGCTTTACCTCTCTAGAAGTGCTTAACAATTAATTACCCTTTTGAATTGGAAATACATATAATGATGAGCATTCAAGAAGCATGCAGAGAAAAGTAACTTTTCTTCCTACCCATCTCCCTGGCATCCAGTCACCTTTCTCAGAAGCACCTGATATTTCCACTCTTTTGTGTATCTTTTAGGGACATTCTATTGCATATACAAACACAACATTTGTGCATATATATAGACATACTAATATATACATAGTCCCCCATGCTATATGTACTTTGCAAGGTAATTTTATAATAATTTGTCCTAAAATAAATCTATTCTTCCTTTCCTTCTTTCTATTCTCCCTTAGTTGTCCTTTAATTTCTTCAATGAATGGTTCCCACTGATAACTATAGCCTATGTATTTAGCCAAGAGTAATTGCCCTAATGGGAGTGTCAACTGTCTTGGAATTGGGCTTAGTTCTAGGCCATTTTAAAATGACTGCTTTCATAATTAAAAGATAATGTCTCAAAAAATCATATGCTGTATTCTTATCATTTTAAAAGTTTTATAATTGACAACTCTGACTCATACTTGACATTCGTAGACACCTGAAAACTCTTTTTTTCTGTATACTTTTTAATAATGACTCTCATATTTTTCAATGTGGGCTTAGTGCCATTAGGGCTTTTTTTCATCTCAGCCATTAAAGAGTGATTTACCTCAGGCCTCTTGATTAATTAAGGGAGACCTAGAATTAAGGGAGAATAAGAATTCTTCTGTGAGGAAGGTAACTGTCAAGCAGATAATCCAGATAATTCCATAATCACTTCCAAGGTGATTTATAATTGAACCAATTACTGTCTGTATTTCCTAATAAAACCACAATGTCAGCATGGCCATGAAGTTACTTTTTCAGGTGCCTGTAGGCTTCTGCTACTTTCTGCACTCAGGCACAATGCTTCTGATACTTGCAAGCATTTTGGTCTTCTTTCTCAGGTTCCATAGTAATGTCTGATGCCAACCAGGCTGATCAAAGAAATGGCGATGCTGGGGTTGCATTGTCACTAACTTAAAGAAGCACCCTTTCCAAGTGTCCCTGGTGGACGCTTGTGCTCAAGCACCTTCTACAGGGGTTGGTATTCACAACATTTGAACTTTAGCTCCACTTGACTACAGACATGATCATTTTCCAGGGGCAAAATCTGAAAACCTCTGGTTTCATGGAAGTGGATCTATGATACTTGAAACACCTCTTGAACTGCTAGCTCTTTGGAAATTGCAGAAAAACATATTTCAGGCAAATGTAGGTTTTAATGTCACACATTACACTTTCTAACTTAGGTCTCTAGATGTGGGAAAAAAATAGTGTGCATGGCAGGCACAAAGAAGTGGAATGAATAATTATCTCCTGGCATTATCTACTCTAGATTCTATCCCAAAAAGAATGTTTTAGTGAAATGTATTTATTCACATTGGGATGAAAACTAGGATGTAACGCTAAGTTAATTTTATTTTCAAAGAAAATTTCATTAAAATAGATAAAGGCTTTGTTTCAAAAAGAAAGAAATGGAACTAATGCATTTTGCCCAGATTTGAACATTTCATTAAAAGCCTAATGTTTAAAGTGCATTTTCAAGATACAATAATACTGACAGAAGAATATCTGATAGGATGATGGAATAACACCATGATAAATCAACTGAAAATGAGACAAATCACCTAAGTGGGGAAAGAGGTTCATCTCTTGATATAGAATCAACATTTACCATGGTTTCAGAACCAGGTAATTGTGAATGGATATAGCTTGTGTTTTTATCTGAATTGAGGATTTTCATTAAATGTATGTTTTGACAAGATCTGAAACACGTCTCTATGGATCTTATAGATAAAATTCAATTGACAACTCTGACTCATGACTTTGTTTATACACTTGTGCTTCAACACATCAGAAAAGCTATTTTTTCCCTGTAGTTTCTAAGAATGTCTCTCAATTACAGAGTCTAAGTCTGAATCATTTCTGGTGGTTATCTTTTCTAGCTTACATCCATTTTTCCTTCTTATATATATGCCCATTATGACATCTTTCAAAGCCCATCAGGAATATGGAATAGACATGCAATATTTTACTGACTTGAAAGTATACAGGAAAAATTCTTTCCAATAAGAAAAATTATACTTATGCACTTCTTTTTCCCTTGCCAATGCAGGGCAGCAAGGAAAACAGAGAAATATGCTAATATTTAATAAGAATTCTAGAATAACCATTCTGTTTACCTCAGTGGCCCATATTTGGCTCTTGATTTTATTCTGGTGGTCAAATTTTGCCCTTCTATCTTCTTAACAGTCACCGTTATTTTAATTGTCAACATCATCATCACTATCATGTTTATAGTTATCACAGAAAATTGCTTTTTCACATTTACAGGGAGACCGTTACTATTCTGTATGCATTCACATTTCCTAATCTCCCTTCATTTCTACTGACTATATTAAATTCCTCATTGGTACATTGCTAATCAACTATGGTAAGTATTATAGTGTTTATCTAAGCCTCCTCCTTGTTACAAGTTCCCTATTTTCTCTGTCTTTTCTTTCCTTCTCTTCACCTCAGCTAAGATCATCTTTGCTTGCCACTATGACTACTGGCTGGTCTCTCAAAAGTTACCACCCTCACATTCTACTACAACAACCAGTTGGAAGCACTAATCTTCATTAATTGATCTACCTTTTCCTCTCTGTCTTGGTTCTAATTTCCTTATCCTGGAGAAAAGGATCACTTATTTTCCCTACACTACCAATATTTTATGTATGTATGTATATATAAAATAAGGTACTTCCCTGCCCTCTCAGATGTGGTGTGAGAATGGATCAATAAAATATACATATGTAGAAGGATCATATTAGACATATAAAATTCCATGGGAACATCAAGAAAAAATTATTGTAGTCTAAAATAATGGGGAGTGTTTTAAATCCAGGAATAATCAAGCTCCCCCAAATGAAGAGAACTTTGGGAGATGTCAGATAATTGATCTGATATAAATGGTCTATGTAAATAAATTTTATGAAAAGGTAGCAGTGTTCATTGAATTGGAGAGTTAAAGGGAGAGGGAGATAAAACTCAATGAATCCCACTAATGTTAGAGTCTTCTGTGATATCCACCCCATTTCTTTTTTATAAGTCATTAAAATATCCTGTACTTAGACTTTAAAGTAGTAGATAGATCAAAAAAAAAAAAAAACATGGCCACACTTTGCTGAACCTGACATTCTCCTCATTTATTTATCCTTTGGAACCATGATAAATATCATTTCCCAAAGGTGATATCCCCGGAAGAACCAGGAAAAAATTGGATGTGGAAATGATGGCTCATTCTTGTGTGGTCACTTAAAGTAGCAATGTCAACATGGGTGTGTTTTATTACTCTTTGTACTTTCCTGCCCTTTTGAAAAAGTATTTCTAGAAAGAAATGAATAACAGCTATGAAAGAAGATGCTTGTAAACTTGAAACAATTTTCCATCTCTGGACCTTCTCTATAAAGCTTTCCATTAATATCTTAATAGGAAATTATCTTTCCATTTCTTGGAATCCTGTAGTGATTTACCTGTATTTCCTAATGGTACTTTCCTATTTCCATCTAATAGTAAAAGTATTCATGTAACATCTCCTCCCTCCACTAAAATTTTTGATAGAAGCACCTAAACTGTTTCATCTCCCAATTTTACAAAGCACCCAACAGTTAGTATTTTGCAGATAGTCCAGACTCAAAAGTTGTTCAATGACTTAGTGGATAAATATATGAATGAGCAATCCCATTGAAAGCTGGTTCTCAGTTTGTTACTCACAAGATTTTATTTCAAATATTGACTTCCAAAGCAATGACCACAAAATTAAGAAATGGGATGAACATGACCATCTTTTTTTTTTTTTCAGAAAAATTTATCTCTGAATGTAGTTCAGTTATCTCTCTTGGAGATACTTAAAAAATACTATTTCACCAAAATTCTGACATATTTCTTTATAAAATATGCCCATACCTGGGTATATTCAGAGGTGTAACATTTAAAGAAGAAATGAATTTAAAATTTAGTTTTCATGCTTATATTTGCCAATAATAAAAATCAACACTGAAGAAAAGTGTGCCATTAAATTGCTAATAAACAAAAGTAAGCAATGCATGAATTGCTACATAATATCCAGAACATTATAGGTTTCTCCTTTTATAAAATGTTATAAACACTTCACAATGCATTATGTTAAATTTCATTACAAGAAAAAGACAACATCACTTAAACTATGTATTTAAAAATTAAAGCATCAACATGATTCAGTTATTAGTAATTGATTCTTATTCTTTTTTTCTGATTCAGAATAAAAATAAACTAAATATATTTAAAAAGCATTTCTGCAGACTATTAAGTATATTTTTGTAATGTTCAACAAATAAAAACAAAAAATATTGGTTTGCTTCTAATTGAACAAAGAAAGTATCCACCATCTTTGACATGTGCACTTTAAAATTCTGTGATCTTTGTTGATTTCAAATAAACAATTTCAAATAAACAATGAGAATGCTTAAACAAAAAGGAACAAAAAATTAGAACCTCTTCTTACGAAGTCTAAAAATTAAAGAGGCCTGAAAGTATGTAAAGTGGCATATTTTATAGAGATTTAAACTCTACTTTGATGTAGGTATTTAAAATCAAAACCAAATATTTTGGAGTAACCACTGAATCTTGCATGCATCCTGGTAGATATTCAAGCAAGTCAAGTCTATCACTTGCTCTTGTATTCACTTTCAGCCACACTCCCACTTACGAAAAAATAAGGACTGTGGCCATAATTTATGACACTAGTTTTATTTGTGAAATAGAACACAAACAAGGAAAGTTTTCAAATGTGGGAAGTGACAGGTAAAATGAAAATATCAGTAACTAACGCAAAAGAATACCAAAATAAAATGAACACTATACTTGTCATTTTCATTTTATAATTAAAAGCCCTGAAAATGTTTTTCAGTTAACTATTCAAACATCTAGAAGATTTCTCAAAGGCTTAACGTAAGTTTAAGTGGAACCTACCTTTAAAATTTGGCCTGATTCTTGCATCATATCCTGATGTCCTTCCCATTAACTTGTCCAAGAAATCTGAAGGAGATAGGGTCTGTGAAGGTTGTTTTCCAGACCTGGAGTCATGGTCTTTGCAGAAAGCCGTCCTAAACACATCATTAACTCTTTTAGCAACAATTTCATTTGCATCCCTTGAGAGCTAACGCTCACTGCATTTTTAACTTTACATTTTGGTAAAGATATTTGATATGTTAGTATGAAGAAAACTAGAAAAATCCAAACTCTTTGGCCAACTTCTGAACTTGTACATGTTCTAAAGTTAACTTTAAATGATGAGAACTATAAATCCTGAGTCGCGTCACCCAGGTTTCCAAACTTTAACCATAAGATGTTTGAGAACAGACAATGTATTTAGTTTTAGGTTGTAGATTTTATGTATATATAGTTAAAACTATTCAGAGAAATGAGATGATATTTTTTTAAATTCATGTGATTGTCTTAAAATCATTTCTATCTGACTTAAAAAAATTGTTTCAGCATTTCGGCCCTAAATATAAGTCATCTACCTTTTATAAGAAATATATAATAAGATGGGCAGAACAAACTTATTATTTCATTGCTTATTTTTCCCATCTGCTAGTTCTAATCCAACTATCAACTATTAATATTTTTCAATGTGATATCTAAAAGAGAACCTTCATTTGGACATTTCATTTCTTTTTAAAATAGGTCAACAATGAGCATGTATATGACTTCTATTATTTTATCAGTTATTTATATGCTTATATATTAAATGCTTATATAAGCATTTAAATTGTTGACTCTCTAAAAAATATTGATGAAAACACACTTCTAAATCATTTTGACTTTTTATCACCAAAACACTGAAAGTTGGTGAAAAATTTCTCAGATTTTCATTTTCCTGTTAAAAGTAATAAAGAGCTTATTAAACATAGCATATTTGGTTTGTAGCAAAATTAATTATTTCACAATACATAGTGGTTAACTGAAATTTCTTCCCTAAAGTATGTATTTTATAAGCTTTGTTTTCAATAGTTTAACAAATAGTGTCTTATGAATTCTATCACTAAGAAAATACCACATTCTTGCCAGCTTTTCAAAGAAGGGGTATTCAAAATAAGTGCAAAGATGATATAAATATTTTGTAGGAGTTAAAAATTGATATGAGCATGCATAAATACTCACATTCTCATATGCAGATTCATCTGATTAATCAAGTATTATTTGATTATGATGGTGGTGGTGGTGAGGATGATGATGATGATGATGATTCTAATAAAAACCAGCCTATATTTTTTCTTAATCATAGTAGGAGGTGTAAACCTGAAAGGAACATAGTGGGTTTTCCCAGTATTCATAGCATTATTACTATGTGTTCCATTTATCTTGGTTCTGTGAAAAAATGCCATAAAATTTAATGAAAATTAAATTTAGAGTCCTATACTTTGTTGTAAGAGCATCTCCTGTCTCTGCTCAGTCTTCCACTCTCTGTTATTAGATGACTATTTCACTTACTGGTAATGATTTGATATTTTGAGGTATCAATTGATTTGGCAACTATTCGTAAACCATGTAGAAAATGCAAGCATGAAAATAGTAATTTCTCACTTTTTAAAATTATGCATGCTCCACTTCTCATATGTACATAAATACAATTATGTCATATTAACTAAATTTTGGTAGGCAATCCATTTCCAAACAGATTGAATAGTAGAATATAGTAGTAAAAAGAAATTTTTGATATTTCAAGAAAATTCCTGAATTGTAGTCCTCATAGTATGCTTCTAGTTTCTGAAATATAACAGAAGTCCCAAGTTGGCTGAGAATTAGGGATCTTTTATATTTTATCTAAAATGAGCATGCTCCTGCCAAATTAATACAATCATCTTATATGAAAAACACTGCACCCAATAATCTCTTTAAATTACTTTCAGAAAAATAATTACCCTTATATAGAAATGTAAAGAGCATGCAACTCATCAGACTACCTTAATATCACGTTGGCTGTGAAAATGTGTGTTGAATTGCATAGAGTGCGGCTATGCATCATAAAACTTGCTTTTGTGAAAAATTTACCACCCTCCCACAATTATTAGGCGTTTTAAATGAACAAAAGATATCTAACTTTCCTCTATAAAATTAAAATAATATAGTCCAGAGCACAGATAAATACACAATTACATGACACATTCTCTTTTAAACAATTTAAATATCAACATGCAAAGTCGTTTCACCTACCTGAAGTGGTTTGTCTCTAAGAAAAATGCAAACAAGGCTGTCAAAATGTTCACTAGCTGCCGGTTCATTCCTGTTTCTGTGTTGCTTGTGGAAAATATCCCGAAATGATTCCAGAAAGATGCTAGGACAAAGTGTCTGTTTATTGTCCAGATTCAAAATTTGGCAGGAACCTAGTTTCCTTGAAAATCAAAAAGAGATTTGGTTTTGTACAGTTTGCTGAGAAAAAAGAAAAAGTGCCAGTCCTGGGCATCATGGTCAGGTCAAACCGAGGCTTGGGACCATCAGTTAACCCAGAAAGACAAAGCCTCAGAACTGATGAATCCCCCAGCTGCTTTTCCTGAATAATAAAAATGCTGCTACCTTAATCGCATCACCATGCAAAGGGAGTTGGTGACAATGCCATGCTAGATAGCTGTGGCTTTTGTTTTATATCTTTTCTGTTTAGCAAAGCCCTTTTTCTAGAAAATGTTTTCTTTTAAAAAGAAGTTGTAAATGAGAGAGAAGAAAGGACTCTGCGCGCTGGAGTGGGTGGGGGGAAGAGGGAAAAATTGCTGAGATCCTGTGCTGGAATGAGGGCTATAGAATGAGACGGAGACGTGATCTTACCCAGCCTATAAATTTCAGCACTCGGACAGCTCCAAGCTCTGAAGTGCGCATGTTTCCTTTTTCAGTTGCTTGGGGCGGGGGTCGGGGAAAAGCATTCAAGAGGGGACGTGCCTGCTGTTCGAAGGCAAAGAGTGACTGGCCGTTCAGCGAGGGGATACTGAAGGGGGTACGATGACAGCAAGAGGAGAAGAGAGGTCGGGAGACGGAGAGGGTGAGGGAAGTGGGGTCTGAGCTCCTGGAAATGCTAGGCTGTCGGTGGGTGGGCGGGACGGGAATTTGAAGCAGAAAAGGGAAGGGAATAAGGTTTAATCGTGGGAAAACGAAATTGGGGGAAACAGAGAACAGGATTCAGAGTACTGAAATTATAATAAGGGTGTGGACAGTTCACTCTTTGTCAGTGCAAGCCGGAGGCAAAGAGGAGTCCTGTGCCGAAGAGAAGGGAACATTTCCTTGGCACAGAGAAGCCCGCGTGCAGAAGAAGGTTCATGAAGATCGATAATTTAATTTAGAAGTCCTTTATGCCTTCCTCGCCTTTTTAATGTTTTCATTTGATTTTAGCCGCCTAGTCCCAAAGGATCTCTCTACCTCTGTACTAGGGAAAGCCCCTTCCAACTGAGCTTTCTTCAGTGGCTCAAAATCCTTGGGCATCCGCAAGTCACAGATTTGTAGAAAAGGAAATGAGACAATGGGCCGGCAGGGGGCAGTAGCAATCTTTTCTTGCCATGGTTAAAGGTTAGAGCAGGGCTCCATGTTAGAAATGGAGCAAGGAAAAGTGCAACTGGGAGTTTAGTTCATCTGCCCATTCCAGATGTTAATCACTAGGAACAGTCATGTAATAAAGTGCATATGCTATTCTCCTAAATTGGCTAAAGGGACTGAAAATAGTGGAAGTTCATAAATCTGTACAAAAGTCTGACGAGTAACCCTGCTATTTCAAATCAAAATTACAAATATTATTATTAATAAAAAAGAGGAAGGGTAGATAGTCCAATGCGGATAATTAGCAGCTTCTGGGAAGGGGGAATGAAAAATGCATGTCCTACCATAAGCTAGGAGAGTAACCTACTTTTTGTGGAATATTCCTTGTTAGTCACCTATGTGCTTTACTGGAGGTCTTAATTTTAAAACAAAATAATATGATTAATTTTTACTCCGTAAATGACTAACTTTGGATCAGTTTAAATATCATAGTAGAGTAACAATGAATTCTATGTTTTTAAGAAGTAGATTCAGAGAAAAAAGATGGCAAGTTCTTTTTACCTTTTAATGTTAATATAAATCACCAGAGGATCTTATTGAAATGCAGATTATGATCCAGTAGGTCTGGGGTGGGGCCTGAGATTCTGCATTTCTAAGAAGTTCCTAGCTGAAGTTGATGCTGCTTGTCCACAGTTCACACTTTGAGTAGCAAGAGTCTATATGCCCTTTCATAAGATGTCTATCCCAGTAAGACAGTGAAAATACAGGAATCTCTTTTTAGATGAAATGCAGTAGTGCCCAAGCATTCTATTTACATACAAAATCAATTCTTCAAATATGTTTTCTTAACTTTCAAAGCCTAGAGAAAATGATTCAATTTAAAAGAAAAACAGTATGGTGTAGTGTGAGACATCCCTGGACTGCAGCTTCAAATCTGTTCACTTCCAAATTCATCCACATGGAAACTCTAGACCTGATTTTATCCCTGCTGTCCTGACCCAAAAAAATATATAAAATCAATTCCTGGAAATATTTCTTCAATTGGTTCTACATGGAAAAATAGCACAGATTTTTTTGTGTTCAAGATTCTTTCCAAAAGAAAATTAGGTATAAAGATAGAAGAAAATTATTTCTCTCAAATTTAAGGTTGTAACGATGCTTAAATAATATAGTCTTTGTAAATCATTTCTCTTTTTTTTTTTTTCCCGAGATGGAGTCTCACTCTGTCACCGGGCTGGAGTGCAGTGGCGTCATCTCAGCTCACTGCAACCTCCACCTCCCGGGTTCAAGCGATTCTCCTGTCTCAGCCTCCTGAGTAGCTGGGACTACAATCACATGCCACCATACCCAGCTAATTTTTGTATTTTTAATAGAGACAGGGTTTCACCATGTTGGCCAGAATGGTCTTGATCTCTTGACCTTGTGATTCGCCCACCTCAGCCTCCCATAGTGCTGGGATTACAGGCGTGAGCCACCGCGCCCAGCCGAATCATTTCTTTTAACAAGAGTTGTGTTATTAACCAGGAATAGGATGAGTAAGGAAATCTGTGACAAAGGAGACTCAGGCCAGCAGCATGAAATCACAGCATTATATTATTGTAGAGTTGTAAGGGACATTAGAGAGGATCTAGTTTAGCCTCCTCATTTGATTTCTCAGCTCTCCTAAATTTGGATTCCAGCCCTATCAATCCACAGAAACAGCTCTCACTAAGTCTGCCAGTGAATTTCTTGTAACTAAGTCCAAAAGACATTTTTCTGTTCTCATCTTACTTGACATTTCCATGGTACCTAATGTCATTGGCCTTTTCTTCCTCCTGGAAACACTTCCCTCTATTGACCCTGTGACACAGTGCACTCCTGGATTACCTCCTATTCTGTCTTCTTGGCAGGCATATCCTCCTCTACCTGGCCTATAAAAGTTGGATTTCCTAAAGGCTATATTCTAGGCTGTCTCCTCTTCTTGCAGTACACTCGCTTAGAAAATATTATGGTAATATAATTTCCATTATCATTTTATGTACATGACACAGAAATGTATATTTCTACCCAGACCTATACATCCAACTGCTTTCTAAACAATTCCTAATGTATGTCTCAAAAGCTGCTTAAACTCTTCATGTCAAAACCGAACTTCTGATAATTCCTCCAACTCCTACTCCTATTCTACTGTGTCTATTTCATTGTTACCAACCAAAGGCCAAGGCATCATCTCCATCATCCACTATATCTAGTTCTTCACCAAGCCCTATTGATTTTTTTCTCCTAAATCTTCTCACTTCCCTCCATCTCAACCTCCATGACCCCAGTTGAGATATCTTTATCTCTTGCCTGTACTGCTGCAGCCATCCTCTTACTAATCTACCTGAACCAACAGCTGGTCTTCTACTACCTCATCCTGTATGCTGAAACCAGAGTGATTTGTTCAGAATCAGAATCTGATTATGTCACAGCCCCTGGTTAATACTATGGTTCTCCATTGATATTTGTGTAGAACAAGGAAACTACTCAATGACCTAAAGGTTCCACATGGTTTGGCCCATGCCTACATTGTTCCTCATCTCATCCACTAATCATCTCATTTCTTCCCCTGTAGCCATATTGGTCTTTTTTCTTACTCCCTAATGCTTACCGTATTGTTCATGAAGTATATCATGTCCCCCATCTTTGTCTGGTTAACACCAGCCTATTTTTCAAATCTCTGGAAGGCCTTTCCTGACCTGCATTACTCTAACAATTCTATTACAGGCCTTCATAGTGCTCTCCAACTCTGACTCAAGGAGCTCGTCATCATTGTATGTATACATGTGTATGACTGTTTGCTTATGTAGCAAGCTTTGCAATGGACAGAGACAGTACATGCTTTGGTCCACCATTATATCCCCATACATTCAATGATAATGACAATCATCATAATGGTATTGATGATAACTAGTATATAATTTTAAATATATACCAGAAATTTGTGGCTTAAACAAAATAATATAAGTACATATGTATAGTCCACAAATAGTTCTTTCAAAAAACTACTTGTTAGGGAATTAACAAGTTAAGATCTGTGATTATTTGAAAGGAAACCAAGTTCAGTGGCGCAGCAGTCTAAAGCATAAAATTAAATTCAAAGTAAGAGATTATTAATTCAATATCCTTGATTCGAGTTCTACCTCTAACACTCATTGGTTATGTGACTGGACAAGTCATTTAATCCCTCTCAGTGTCATTCTCATAATATATAAAATTTATATAACATAAAGTGTTACATAATTACATAAACACATATGTTACATAAAATATTTCTATGTAGAATACTCTTGAAAATCACGTGAAATCAGACCTGAGGATGTGTTTTTAGAGTCTTAATCTCATTTACTTAATTTATTTAATCTCATCTACTTACTGTTAAAATTCATGTTTTAACTTTGTTCATTGGACAATTCCACTTTCAAGGACAGTAAGATTTAGGAGCTTTGAAAAGGTTTTATTTGCAATGCAATGGAAACTGAAGTCTAATTCTCCTATGCCTCTAACTTACCAAACTGTAACTGGTTGAGGTATGTGGAAACCTTATTCTGTACTCTTTTTACAAGAGAAATGAAAAGATTGTGACCCATCCTATGTCATAAGGACCAACACACAATATTTGGTCTATATCATGCTACATATTAAACTTTAAAAAATAGATATAAAAAATAAAAACACTTTTCTTAACATCAGTATCATTTACTGATACTGATAAACCTTAAGAACTCTAACATATACATAATGCTTTATAGTTTTCAAAATACCCACATTATATGGCAGAAAAATAATTGATATCTATATATTTTAATGAGGAATCTATAGTTTGTGTAAGTTTATCAATTTTCTCAGGTCTATATGATTAAGTGACAGTCATACTTTTTATATTTACTACCCATCAACAAAATTATTTCTCATTACGTGTGATTGCTGTTATTTTTTAAGTCACTGAAAGCCTACTATATGCCCACAACTACTTTAATAATTATGTTTTTGTGATTCCATTACATTAAACTTTGGTTACTATTATATTAAGATACACACACACACACACACACACACAAATATGTTGAATGGAATGCCCACATTAAGAGTCTCAGAGTCAATTTCCTCAAAGAAAGAGTCAAAAGATATCCAATATATCAATATCCTGTGTCAGGACTTTTACTGAACGGGTTTCCTACAGAAAAAACGTCCTCCTCAAGTACAGACATTCTTTCCTCCACTTGAAAATATGAAGAAGTTAAGAAAAGACTATTAATTTACAATAGACACCCACCAAATAGAGGTTTGAGGCAAATTAGAGAAGGCAAGAAGTTGTTTTTACCAAATCTTTCGTTGTTAGAGATGCTTTCCCAGAGAACAATAAAGACAATTTCACCTTGATAAAATGCACCTCCTGAATTTTATGAGAGATTTGTCTCAAATAGACTCTCTTCTCACTATAGGGCCATAGATTAAAATAGATTTCTAGATGAGAAGACCTCTGGCATGAGGATGCATGGCCATTATGATATTTACTAAGCCATATGGCTTGTGATATCAATATTAACGATTGCCATTTCTTAACTACCTATAATATTGTATTAGAGTTCTCCAGAGAGACAGAACCAATAGGATATGTATATATAGGCATACCTTGTTTTATTACAATTTGCTTTATTGTTTCACAGATATTGCATTTTTTACAAACTGAAGATTTATGGTAATCCTGCATTGAGCAAGTCTGTTGGCACCATTTTTCCAACAGCATGTGCTCACTTTGTGTCTTTGTGTCACATTATGTGACTGAATTGCTGCAATCTCATGATAAAACTTGAATGGATGATGAGTTGCTTCTTACGGACAAGCAAAGAAAGTGGTTTCTTGATATGGAATCTACAGCTGCTAAGGATGTTATGAACATTGTTGAAATGACAACATTCTCACAATCTTTCAAACTTTTTCATTATTATATCTATTATGGTGACCTGTGAATGGTGATCCTTGATGTTACTACTGTAATTGTTTGGGGGCACCATGAACCACACCCGTATAGGATGGCAAACTTAATCGATCAATGTTGTATGTGTTCCGACTACTCTACTGACTGGCCATTCTCATTTCTCTCCCTGTTTTGGGGCCTCCCTATTCCCTGAGACACAACAATATTGAAATGAGGACAACTAATAACCCTACAATGGCCTTCAAGTATTCAAATGAAAGGAAGAGTCATATGTCTCTCACTTGAAATCAAGCTAGAAATGATTAGGCATAATGAGGAAAGCATATGGAAAGCTGAGATAGGCCAAAAGTTAGGCCTCTTGCACAGACAGCCAAGTCATGAATGCAAAGGAAAAGTTCGTGAAGAAAAATAAAAGTGCTACTTCTGGGAACACATAAATGTTAAGAAAGTGAAACTGCGTTATCGCTGATATGGAGAAAGCTCAAGTGGCCTGGATTGGAGATCAAAGCAGTCACAACATACCCTTAAGCCAAAGTCCAATCCAGAGCAAGGCCCCCAACACCTCTTTTCAATTCTATAAGGCTGAAAGAGGTGAGGAAGCTGCAGAAGAAAAGTTTGAAGCTGACAGAGGTTGGTTCATGAGTTTTCAGTAAAGAAGCCACCTCCATAACATAAAAATGCAACGTGCTCGAGTAAGTCCTGATGTAGAAGCTACAACGAGTTATTAAGAAGATCTGACTAAGATCATTGATGAAGGGGGTTAGCGTAAACAACAGATTTTCAATGTAGATGAAACAGCCTTCTATTGGAAGTAGATGCCATCTAGGACTTTCATAGCTAGAGAGAAGTCAATGCCTGGCTTCAGTGCTTCAAAGGACAGGTTGACTCTTTCGTTAGGAGGTAATGCAGCTGGTGACTTTCAGTTGAAGACAATGCCCATTTACCATTCTTAAAATCCGAGGGTCCTTAAAAAGTATGCAAACTCTACTGTGCATCTGCTTTATAAATGGAACAACAAAGGCTGGATGACAGCTAATCTGAACATTTAGGTCCACTCTTGAGACCTACTGCTCTGAAAAAATATTCCTTTCAAAATATTACTGCTCATTGACAATGCACCCAAGGGTTCTGGTCACCCAAGACCTCTGATGGAGATGTAAAAGGAGATTAATGTTTTTCTCATGCCTGCTAACACAACATCCATTCTGCAGTCCACAGATCAAGGAATAATTTTGACTTTCAAGTCTTATTATTTAAGAAATACATTTTGTAAATCTATAGCTGCCATAGACAGTGATTCCTCTAATGGAGCTGGGAAAAGTAAATCGAAAACCTTCTGGAAAGGATTCACCATTCTAGATACCATTAAGAACATTTGTGATTCATGAGAGGATGTCAAAATGTCAACAAGAGTTTGGAAGAAGTTGATGCCAACCATCATGGATGACTTTGAGAGGGGTTCCAGACTTCACTGGAGGAAGTAACTGCAGATGTGGTGAAAATAGCAAGAGAACTAGAATTAGAAGTGGATCCTGAAGATGTCACTGAATTGCTGCAAACCCATGACAAAACTTAAACGTATGAGGAGTTGTTACTTATGGATAAGCAAAGCAAGTGGTTTCTTGAGTTAGAATCAACTCCTGGTGAAGATGCTGTGAACACTGTTGAAATGACAACAAAGGATTCAGGATATTCCATAAACTTAGTTGATAAAGCAGCAGCAGGGTTTGAGAGGATTTACTTCAATTTTGAAAGAAGTTCTACTGGGGGCAAAATGTTATCAAACATCATTGCACCCTATAGAGAAATATTTCATGAAAAGAGGAGTCGATCTATGTGGCAAACTTCAATATTGTCTTATTTTAAGAAACTGTCACAGCCAACCCAACCTTCAGCAACCACCACCCTGTTTAGTCAGCAGCCATCAACATAGAGGCAAGACTCTTTACCAGAAAAAAGATTACAATTCACTGAAGGCTCAGATGATAGTTAGCATTTTTTAGCAATAATGTATTTTTTAAATTAAGGTATGTGCATTATTTTTAGACATAATATTGCACACCTTAATACACTAAACATAACTTTTATATGCACTGGGAAACCAAAAAATTTGTATGACTCACTTTTTTATTATATTCACTTTATTGCAATGGTCTGGAACCAAATCTACAATATCTCTGAGGTATGCCTGTATAGATATATGACAGAGATTTATTGGGGTAATGGCTCATGCACTTATGGAGACTAAGTCCTGTGACCATCTGCAAGCTGGACCATCTGCAAGCTGGACACCCTGATGCTGGTGGATGGCTCAGTCCATGTCCAAAAACCTCAGAACCAAGGAAGCAAATGGTGTAATTCTCAATCTGAAATTAAAGGCCTAAGAACCTGGGAGAGGGCACTGATGCAAGTCTTGGAGTCCGAAGGATGGAGAGCCTGGAACCCTGATGTTCAATGAAAGGAGAAGTGTGTCCTATCTTCGGGAGAGAGAGAGAGAGAAATGAAGTTGCCTTTCCTCTGCCTTTTTGTCCTATCCAGGACCCCAGCCTATGGAATGGTGCCCACCACATTGAGGATGGATTTTTCCCACTCACTCCACTGACTCATATGCCAATCTCCTCTGGAAACACCCTCCCTCACAGACACACCCACAAATAATGCTTTACCAATTCTCTAGGTATTTCTTAATCCAGTCAAGGTGACACCTTAAATTAAGCATCACAAATATCTCAGGGATCAGGTAGAGAGTCTCTCTCTCAAAGTGAGACCTCTGAGCTACCACTGCAGAGTCCACAATGGCTCTTGACTTTCATGGCCAGTGATTGGCCCATATGTCCTTTATTTCCTTGCATTGGTTATATTGGAAATCAAAGGCATATTAAAGAGCCCACTCTGTTGGATTAGATAAGTTGTTAGAAGCATAGTAATAAAAAATGACGAAAACAAAGCATAGTTTCTGTACATTGATTTGTGCAGGCTGCTACAAGCATTGGTACTGATGAATTTAAAGCTGTTTTCAATGGCCAGCAATGTCCATAGAGCAAGAACACTTAGAGCTGATGTCACTCTGCATTTACTCTCTCTAATTTTCAAAAGTCCAGCTTGCTTCTCTCCTTTTTATTTTGCAGAAGGCATAAAGATGCCCATCATGCAGAGAGACAAGCTTCAAGGACATGAAGCCTAAATGGGAAATCACTGCTCTTCCAGGCTCCATGCAGGCAATTGGATGTCTGTCCAGAACATTTCTGGATTAAATTGTTTAGAAGTCAGAAAAATTATTTTAGGACTGGAGTTCTGCTTATTAGTGTTCAATGTTCACAGGCCATAAATGTGTCAAATGCTTGAAACAATTTATATTTCCAGTGATGATTCATGGCAAGTGATTGCTTCCCTGTTGGCTAATGTGAGAAATGCAGCGTTTCTTTTCATAAACATTAACAGGACAAACAGTAATTTGGAGAATAAATAAAATGTAATTCCACTTGGATGCATTAGAAAGATTTCTCCTTTGCTACAATTCTAAAGATGATAATAATGAATAACAATGAGATTGATTGTTGCAGTAGCACTTGTCTTAGAATCTTCTAGGTTTTGTTCTGCCACTGATGTGAAAAATCCCTTGACATCACCTTCGTTATCATGATACCTTCGCTGAAAATGTATTTTGGGGAGTTCTCACATTTGAAACTTTTGTTATTGACTTCATGAGTATCTAACCCCCATTCCATAAAATGCCTCTTCTGGATTGCCTTGGATTCCGAGAATGCTGAAAAGAAGCTGAATTTGGAAAGAGTGAATTATTTGAAGTTGAACAATATTTTTATATTTGCAAGTAAGTTAGCATTTTGTAGCTGACATGGAATTACATTCATTATAGACAATGATGACTTTATTATTTTGAAGCATAATATAGATGCTAACTCATTAGTGCATGTGTACCCAACAGTCCTATACCAATCAACCAGTCAACGAATATTAGTTAGGCATTTACTTTATGCAAAATACTGTTATTTCTTTGAAGATTAGACAAAGTAATATGAAGCATTATTTCTTCTTTGTAGGGACTTAAGACCTATCTATATGTGAAAATAAGGAAAATAAATATTATGAAAGTGGGGCTCTAGGTTACAGTATCTAGGGAGATCAGCTTACTGATACCCAAGACGTTTCAAAATGTGGCATTCATCCACGTATTCTTCACAGTCTAAATCCTGGTTCTTAGCCTTGCAGGTTTATAAAATTAATCTTGTTAGAGCCTCAAATATGTTATTAATCAGGAATGTGACATACTAATTCTATAATACCTAATAACCTGACATATAAGCCAGAATGAAAATATAGCCACTGGGCTGCCAAGTAACCCATAGGCCTGGGCAGTGTGTAAGCTTCCTAGGTACATGCTGCCTTGGAAGGTTTCATGATAAACATGACATTAGAATAATGGGATCTGACTATAGTTGAAATGTGAAAAAGCTGTGTGAAACCTATATAAAGTAGACTGAGGATGTCACCTCTAACTTTTAAATACTCATTTGAGAAACTGAATATTTACATCTGTTCCCATTACTCATTTCTTGGATTGGGATTTATCTCTCAGACTTCTTTTTAAGCTTCATTTTTGATTAAGTTCACCACTAATTGAAATATTCATTGCATTTTGAAAATGGCATATGATGAAATATTATACACTTACACAAATGTGTATAATACATATAAATTATATATAATAATAAAATAAATTGCCTTGTAGCCACAGATAACATAAGACACAAAAAATCACCAATACTTCTGAATCCTACTGAATGGTAATCTATTACCTGATCTCCTTTTTTTTTTTTTTTTTTTTTTTGAGACCGAGTCTGGCTCTGTTGCCCAGGCTGGAGTGCAGTGGCGCAATCTCGACTCACTTCAAGCTCCGCCTCCTGGGTTCACGCCATTCTCCTGCCTCAGCCTCCCAAGTAGCTGGGACTACAGGCACCCACCACCACACCTGGCTAATTTTTTTTTTTTTTTCAGTAGAGACGGGGTTTCACTGTGTTAGCCAGGATGGTCTCGATCTCCTGACCTCGTGATCGGTCCGCCGTGGCCTCCCAAAGTGCTGGGATTACAGGCATGAGCCACCGCACCTGGCCACCTGATGTCTTATGTCAGCTTTCATACTGAAAAATTTTCTTAGCATTTTGTTTTCACACACACACACACACATACACACACACACAGTTTAATTTCTCATGTTTTAGACAGTACATAAATTGAATGAGAATGTATTCTGTGATTTAGGTCAATATTATGTAATTGTACATATCAAGGATTCATTCCTTTTCATGCTGTATTTCTCCATCCTTTGAACATTACACAATTTCTTTATCTGTTTCACTGCTGATGGGCTTTGGATCATTTCCAGTTTTGTGTGTTTTTTGCTATAATAATGCTGCATAATATTCTTATACATTTCTTCTGTTGTACATGTGCAAAGTTTCTCTAGCATGCATATTTAGAGGAAGAACCATTGGGTCCTAATATATGCACAGCTTCCATTTTATTAGAGGATGCCAAGTTGTTTTCTGAAGTGTTATAAAATTTATGCTCTTGCCATAATGTAAAAAGGTTATAACTAAGTAAAAAAGATATAATTTTATATCTTTACCAACACTTGGCCTCTTCAGACTTTAATTTTTGCCAACCTGGACAATGTTAAATAGTATCTCACTGTGATTTTGGTGTACATTTATCTGATTACTAAGGGTTCAGTACCATTTCAATATGTTTACTGACCATTTGTGTTCCATCTGTGAAATACCTGTTAATTTTTTTGAAAACTATTCAATTAAGTTGTTTCCTTTGTCTTCTATATGTATAAAGACTATTTTATAACAATGCTTTGCCAGTTTATGTCTTACAAATATTTCCTGGTTTGTGGCTTTTCACTTTCTTGATCATATTATTAAAATAAATTTTATAAATCAAATATTAATAAATTTATAAACTTTATAAATAAAATATTATTGGTAACATTTGTTAATCTTTCCCCTTATGGTTTTTACTGTTTTTATCTTGGTAACATTTATTCATCTTTTTCCTTATGGTTTTTACTGTTTTTATCTTAGAATAGAAATATTTTTCAATACTGAGATTATGAAGATGTGTTCTTATATGATCTTTGATATGGTTTGGCTGTGTCCCCACCCAAATCTCATCTTGAATGGTAGTTCCCATAATCCCCACATGTCATGGGAGGCACCCGGTGGGAGGTAATTCAATCACGAAGGTGGTTATTACCCCATGCTCACTCATGATAGTGAGTTCTCACAAGATCTGATGGTTTTATAGGGGGCTTTCCCCTCTTTGCTTGGCACTCAGTCTCTCTTCTGCCACCATGTGAAGAAAGACATGTTTGCTTCCCCTTCTGCCATGATTGTAAGTTTCCTGAGGCTTCCCCAGCCATGCATAACTGTGAGTCAACTAAACCTCTTTCCTTTATAAATTACCCAGTCTTGGGCAGTTCTTTATAGCAGCATGAGAATGGACTAATACAATCTTCTAATGTTTTTAAAATGGCACATATTTAAATAATTAATACCTAGAGTAAATAGTATCTCTATTAGTTATCTATCTTCATATACTCATAGTTGTTAATTGATGTGCATAGATTATATATGATGCAAAAATTAGGTGCTCTTGTTCAAAGAGTTTGAAAATTAAAATGCCTTATAATATCAACATAGCATGTTAGACTACAGATTTGCAAAGAGATACAAGGGCTACTAATTCAAAACATCTTGACTGTTGATCTGGTAATGTATGGTTGTGTAATAAACTATCCAAAAACTTACTGGCTTAAAGCAATAATTTGTTAATATCTTTCATGATCCAGTAGATTGAGTGGGTTCATCCAGAGATTCTTGATTGGAATCTCTCTAGCTGTTACATGGAAGCTGAGGCTTGAGTCATCTGAAGGTTCAACTGGACCAAACTTCCAAGATGGCTTGCTTATATGACTGGTATTTGGTACTGGCTGTTGGATACTGAATAGGAGTTCACCTGGGACAGTTACAAGAGGACCTACATGTGGCCTCTTTCTGGAGGTTGGGCTCCTTATGCCATGGTGCCTGGGTACAAGAAGGTACATCCCAACAGTGAGCATTCCAAAAAAACAAGGAAGATGCTGCTACAAGGCTTCATATGACCTAGCCTTGGGAGTCATGTAATGTCACAGTTTCTTGCATTTTACTAGTTATGTATGGCCGGCTCAGTTTCAACATAGGAGGAGACTTCTCTAGGGTGTGAATTCCAGAAGGTACGGTTCACTGGGGCATCATCTCTGAAGATTAGTTACAACAGTTAGGTAAAGGGATGGCTAGTATTAATATTTGCAGAGAGAGTTCTATGACATCATCTAATTCAAGCAAGAAATAAGATTAAATAGATTGAAAAACCTCTCACTACAAAACATCTAAATTTTATGGATAAAATGTATGTTTTTAAAAACAAAGGTGAATTGGCCATGAAGAAAAATTCTCAGAGGTCCAAAACAAGAAAGCATAGATTTAGAGTAAAATTTAAATGCTAAAGACAGATTAGCTTAGAGTACCTTTTGATCCCAGACACCTATGACTTTAGTTTTAATGCACATTGGTGTGGGAGGGAGGGGATAATAGAGAAACGCTAGAGCCAAGGTAAGGTGGATAATCTATTTGAAGACCCTCTACTATATGAGCCATGAAGTGTGCTATACAAAAGGAGGGATAGCAGGAAACATGCATATTCAAAACTTGACTCTAAATGGAACTTAAAAGCCTCTGAGAGTTTGTGAACAAGGGAAAACATCATGTAGGTTTGTGACTATAATTAGTAGTAACTCTATGATCCAAACACCTCAAACCAAAAATTTATTTAAAGTTATTTTAAGTTGGTGATCCCAAGTATCTCTGATAGAAGCAATGAAAATTCAGTTGGGGGAAACAAATTTCAACACACATCTCAAGGTTTTTCTTCAGCTAAAGTTCTAATGGATATGATTTGCAAACACAAATCTCAAGACACATGGCATAACAAGGACCTCATGAGTAAGAGCCAGGAGAATTTTTAATACATGTATTAAATATGTCTAACAATTACAAAGGCAAAGAATGAGTAAGAAACAAGTGACTCAAAAATAACCAAATAGAATATCTAGAAATGAAAAGCATAATAATTAACATTTAGAAGTCTAACTATTTAAAATAATATTAGATTTAACTTATAAGTATTGACTTGGAAGATAGACCAAAAGTTCTATTCAGAAAATAGCAGACAGAGACAAATAATTTGGAAACATCAAAGAGAAGTTAAGAAACACCGGGGATAGAAAGACAAGATCTAACACGTATCAAGTGGGTGATTCAAAGAAATAACAGCAGAATTGATTTTTAAAGAGGCAATGGCTAAAATTTTTCAAAATTGATTTAAAAAAACTGGGATCATCAGGATTAGGAATTCCAATGAAATTCAGGAAAAATTCTGAATATCCACACCTAAATACATTGTACTGAACGTGAAACTTAAAAGCTAAAGACAAAGAAAAAACCTTCAGATCAGTTGGAAATAGATTTTTTAAAATTACTAGGTGACAGTTGAATGGCTGAATTATCAGCAATAATAACAGGACAAGAAGACAGTGAAATGACTTCATATACTCAGGGAAGGTAACTGCCAACATAGGATTATATATCTGCAAAGTTATTTTAAAAAACAAAACACGAGTGAAATAAATATACTTAACAGACAAAACTGAAATTCTTGCTACCATTAGAACTCGAGGAAGGGAATAAAAGAAAAATAAAATAAGAGTAAAAGACTATTTCAGGAAGAAGAAAAATGCTCTCAAGATGAAAGTATAAGATGCAAAAAAAAGTGGTAAACATAGAAATTGCTATACAAATGGGTAAATATAAACAGTATATAGCATATTAATGGGTTTTAAGGCAAAAAATGAGATTTTATTAGGAAAGGCAAGGATTGTACACAGATTAATCTGATTAAAACTATACTATGACACCACACTGGAATAAAGCAGAAAGAAAAACCAAGGAAGATGAAGACAAGTAGAGAGAAAAATAAAGGGAGTAAAAAGTTGAAGGGGCCTCCTGAGAAGTTTTCAAATGCTAAAAAAAATTGTTGACCAGAATTAACATTTTTAACTGGAGAATTAAAGAATCTTTCTTTCTCTGGCTTTTCTCCCTAACCCAAGGCTTGCCTGGTATTAATCCTACTCCAAAACTCTCTACCACTTTAAAAAGGTGTTGCCAAATAGAGAAACAGGTTCTCAGAGTCCAAGATACTGGAATTATTTTACCTTATATGAGAATGTTAAATGACAATTTAAATGTTGTCTTCAGCAATTTAAGCTCCATTTCCTTTTTCTTTTTTGTGCCTTTAATGTTTCTTTCTCTTTTCTTTTTTTAAAAAAACTTATTTTTTATTTCCATAGGTTTTTTTGGGGAACAGGAGGTGTTTGGTTACATCGGTTCTTTAGTGGTGATTTCTGAGATTTGGTGCACCCGTCACCCAAGCAGTATATACTGTACCAATTTGTAGTCTTTTTTGCCCTCACCCCCTCCCACCCTTTCCCCCGAGTCCCCAAAGTCCACTGTATTATTCTTAAGCCTTTGCATCCTCATAGCTTAGCTCCCACTTATGAGTGAGAACATATGATGTTTGGTTTTCCATTCCTGAGTTAATTCATTTAAAATAATGGTCTCCAACTCCATCCAGGTTGCTGCAAATGCCATTATTTTGTGCTGAGTAGTATTCCATGGTGTATATATATACCACAATTTATCTACTCATTTACTGATGGGCATTTGAGCAGCTTCCATATTTTTGAAACTGCAAATTGTGCTGCTATAAACATGCATGGGCAAGTATCCTTTTTGTATAATAACTTTTTTTTCCTCTGGGTAGATGCCCAGTAAGGGGATTGCTGGATCAAATGGTAATTCTACTTTTTGTTCCTTAGGGAATCTCCACACTGTTTTCCATAGTGGTTGTATCAGTTTAAATTCCCACCAGCAGTGTATAAGGGTTCCCTTTTCACCACATCCATGCCAACATCTATTATTTTTTGATTTTTTGATTATGGCCATTCTTGCAGGAGTAAGGTGGTATTGCATTGTGTTTTTGATTTTAATTTCCCTGATCATTAGTGATGTTGAGCATTTTTTCATATGGTTGTTGGCCATTTGTATATCTTCTTTTGAGAATTGTCTATTCATGTTCTTAGCCCACTTTTTGATGGGATTGTTCGGTTTTTTTATGCTAATTTGTTTTAGTTCCTTGTGCATTCTGAATATTAATCCTTTATCAGATGTATACATTGCAAAGATTTTCTCTCACTCTGTGGGTTGTCTGTTTACTCTGCTGATTATTTTGCTGTGCAGAAGCTTTTTAGTTTAATTAAGTCCCATCTATTTATCTTTGTTTTTGTTGCATTTGCTTTTGGGTTCTTGGTCATGAAGTCTTTGCCTAAGCCAATGTCTAGAAGGGTTTTTCTGATGTTATCTTCTAGAGTTTTTATGGTTTCGGGTCTTAGATTTAAGTCTTTGATCCATCTTGAGTTGATTTTTGTATAAGTTGAGAGATGAGGATCCAATTTCATTCTTCTACATGTGGCTTGCCAATTATCCCAGCACCATTTGTTGAATAGGGCAGGCGTTCTTTCCCCCACTTTATGTTTTTATTTGCTTTGTTGAAGATCAGTTGGCTATATTTAGCTTTATTTCTGGGTTCTCTATTCTGTTGCATTGGTCTATGTGCCTAGTTTTAGACCAGTGCCATACTGTTTTGGTGACTATGGCCTTATAGTATAGTTTGAAGTCACATAATGTGATGCCTCTAGATCTGCTCTTTTGGCTTAGTCTTTCTTTGACTATGCAGGCTCTTTCTTGGTTCCATATGAATTTTAGGATTTTTTTTTCTAGTTCTGTTCTGAGAATGATGGTGGTATTTTTATGGGAATTGCATTGAATGTGTACATTGCTTTTGGTAGTATGGTCATTTTCACAATATTGATTCTACCCATTCATGAACGTGGGATGTGTTTCCATTTGTTTGTGTCATCTATGATTTCTTTCAGCAGCGTTTTGTAGTTTTCCTTGTAGAGGTCTTTCACCTCCTTGGTTAGGTATATTCCTAAGTTTTTTTTGCAGCTACTGTAAAAAGGGTTGAGTTACTGATTTGATTCTCAGCTTGTTCACTGTTGGTGTATAGCAGAGTTACTGATTTGTGTACATTAATTTTGTATCCTGAAACTTTGCTGAATTCATATTTCAGTTCTAGGAGTTTTTTGAAGAAGTCTTCAGGGTTTTCTAGGTATATGATCATATCATCAGCAAACAGTGACACTTTGACTTCCTCTTTACTGATTTGGATGCCCTTTATTTCTATCTCTTGTCTGATTGCTCTGGCTAGGAATTTCAGTACTATGTTGAATAGAAGTGGTGAAAGTGGGCATCTTTGTCTTGTTCTAGTTTTCAGGGGAAATGCTTTCAACTTTTCCCCATTCAGTATTATGATGGCTGTGGATTTGTCATAGATGGCTTTTATTACCTTAAGGTATGTCCCTTCTATGCTTGTTTTGCTGAGGGTTTTAATCATAAAGGGATATCAGCTTCATTTTCTAAAATATGACAAACCAGCATATCTCCATCTCCTTTCTGGACAGCCATATAGGGGCCATAATTCTAAAATACATAAATGGTAGGAATTCTTGCCAAATGGTTGATGGCTGTACTAGCAAAGAAATGGGTGGAATCTCCATCAACAGTGCTTTTCAAAAAACATGTATATCTTTCATAAACCCACTTATCCTCTTACAGGCCTGTGCGGCTATGGCACATGGTATTAATTGGAACATTCAGAAGATATATATTAAAGTTCTACCTCTTCTGCTTACTAGCTATGCAGTCTTACACAAATTAACTCTCTGAGCCCCAGTTTAGTAGAATGGGAAATAATACCACTTTTCTTCTTGACCATCCTGGTTGTAGCAAGGATGCAATGACACGGATTGTAGGGCTATATAAACTTCAAAGACTCCAATAAATGTAAGTTGTTATTCTTGAATAAATACTTTTCATTATCACAATCACATGAAGCTATTTATGTAATAACCTCCTTAATTCTAAAGAGATGATTATAATTTGTTTTCAACTTTCACATTAATTTAGGAAAATAGATAAAAAGAGATGCATTTTCAGTGATGATGAATAGTACATGCAAAATATATGTGAATGAAGAAAACAAGATTCTATTATTTTTCAGCTGAGCAATTATCATATGAGCCTCTGGAGAGAAAATCTAATTCAACTTTTAAGTTACTAACTTTAGTAATTCTAAGCATGTTTAACAGTCATGACAAATGACTTAGATAAATTGCTAAATATGAATAAAGGGAAGAATTCTATTGATACAAAGGAAAGGTATTCTAGTCAGAAAAAATTTAAAGGGGGCTTCAGATAATTTAATGTACATATAAGACTAAGTCTGTGGAAAATATTGAATTGTGTTTGCTTCTTGACTAGCACACCAAAAACATAATCAACTAAAGAGATTGAAACAAGTGAGTAATCATTTCTCTTTCTCCTTTTAAGGAAAACTATTTCTGTTAGAGTTTTGAAAGCCTTAAAGATAAGGCCAAATAATATTACAAAACTAAATCAGGTTTTTGCTAAATACTAGACAAATCCAGTTGTATAGGCTTTTATCATATAGTTAGAAAATAAGCTTTTCTATTTATTTACACTCTGGGGAGGGATAGCATTGGGAGATATACCTAATGCTAGATGACGAGTTAGTGGGTGCAGTGCACCAGCATGGCACATGTATACATATGTAACTAACCTGCACATTGTGCACATGTACCCTAAAACTTAAAGTATAATAATAAAAAAATAAAAATAAATAAAAAAAAACCAAAGTGTTATAAAGGAGGGATGAATGTAATTCTCAGTGTCTTGTCTACAAAGTAGCATTGATACTAATAAGAATGAGAAATGGGATATGAACAATGGATGACAAATCATTTTCTTGAGTCTCCAGAAGCCACTTAAGTATTAAAATAAAATGATGCCATAATTCATATTTTGTGCCATGAGGATATCAAAAACAATCTGACTGTGGACTTCAGACTTTTTTATTCTGTTTTGTTGAATAGACCCATTTTCCCCAGGAATATGTCCCTTCACCATGGAGTTCCAGCTCCTTGCATCAGGATGGTACACTCTTACTTTCCAGTTATGTCCTACAGTCTATTCTGTTTCTGGTATTTTTTCATCACCAAGGGCCCATGACTCCTGAGCACTCTGTTTTCCCCCTTTGTCCCTCCAGATTCCCTCTCCACCTTTCATCCTGCTCTATACCTCTGGGGGCCAATGTTAATGGACTGCAAAAATTAGGCTTCATTGACATTTGGCTTACAATTCAGCTCAGCCAATATAAGGTACCAGCAGGAGTTGAGAAGGAAAGACAAATTGGGGTATTTATTTCACCAGCTTCCTCCCAGCTCAGCAGAAATTTGGTGGTGGCTTTGTCCTTCTGTTGAAGGCCACAGTTCCTGAAAGATGACTCTCTTCTATCGCTACAGCTCTTCCTAGTTTTCAGTGATGGTTTTCTACTCCTGTGCTTTTAGACCTAGGACAGTAACGGCTCCCTGCTATTGTTGGTCCCTGGGTGTTTTACCATCCCTAGTTTTCTTCCCTTAATTTTAACCACAAACTTTTATATACAGTCCCTTTAATAAATCCTCTCTAATTTACCCTATTGGGTCCATCTTGTTTCCTGCCAGGACCCTTTCCCACATAAGCCTACCACTGCCTATGAGATAATCTTTAAACTCTTCTCTCTGATTTTAACTCACTTTGCTATTTGTCACCTTCTATTTTTGCTAGCTGTGAGCAAACATTACTTTCCCCTCTTCTAAATGGAATCACCTCTAGCACACATTTTTTCTGCTCTATTATGCCTTTGCACTTTACTATAAACTCAGGTATAATCATTAACTTAGGTGTAAGATACATTTCATCCAAAAGATGACAAAGAAATTCATTCTTCACACTTCTCATAGCATCTAATCCAGGAAGAGACACTAGTTAGGAGCTGGATTTGAAATTTTAATTCATTATTCCTTGATTTGTTTCTCTTCCTTTCCAGCCTTCGTTAATTTCTTTCCATTTTAACCTACGCCTTCATCCCTATTTTTCTCTTGGCCTCAACTTTTACAACACTTTAAGCCCTAAGCCCCACTTTATGAAGCCACTACATTAGATTATTGATGTCAAATCAAGGAACTCTGAGTTTATGAGTCTGAAAGTCCTTTTCTTCCTCAATATAACAAAGTCTGAGTCTTCCACGCCTCAGGGCACAATACAGAGCTCATCTAATTTTTGGTTGTTTTGCTGATCAATGAAAGGTGGTCCGTTTTCTTGGAAAATGTTATCATGTTTACTTAAACTAAACACTGTTGTTAGTTCTGTTACTGTATTACAAATATTCAAGTGAAGGAAGCTCAAGGGTAATATAATACATGAAGCTGTTGGAACAGGGAAGATAAAGATAAGACTAGAAAGAATTTTTAGAATCAAATTTCACTTTGGCTTTATTCTTCAATCTATTACAGTAATCTCTACTTTTGTATCCCTAAGGGCTAGCTTAGGTTATTTAAGACAAAGCCAGAACACATTCCATAGATGAAGACAGAGAAATGGAAGCCTTCTTGCCCACAGTAAAAGCATCCAACTTTATCTTCCTAGTAGTAAGTTTAAGAAGTGCCACTATACATTCCTTTTTAGAGAGGAGTGAGAGAAGTGAGGGGTAACACAGCCTCAGTGAAATCTGGGGAGTGGGTGGCCTAGATTAGATATCCTAGGGCCACTCTAATGTGAAAAGCATGACATTTGTTTCTGGTGTCATCTCTGCAGCAGGCTGTAGTAGGATGAGCATGAACTCTGGAGTTAGACAGCTTTGTGTTTGAATCCTGGTTCTACCATTTAGCAGAACCAGGTATCCTGGACCAAACCAATGACAAAACCATGTTTCTAGAGGTATTCTATAATTGGTGACCTTGAAATTCATTTTTTTCATTCAACAAATATTTGATTGAATGCCTACTGTGTTCCAGGCCCTATTCTAGGCATGAAGTGTATTAAAAATGGAAGTAATATGAAGTCCCTAATCTCAAACAATTTATCATGATTTTGCAGGTTGGCCTTCTCTTCAGCCATCAATTGACCCTAAAAGTGCTAGATGGCACAGTGTCCCTCCTGTGTCTATAGGCACTCATGCAAAATGCACTAATTAAATGTCTCCATAAGGACTGTGTGCTGCAGGAATGGCCCAGTGCCAATGCCTTGAAGTCTGTGCTCCAAATGCCACTCTTGTCCTCAAGCTAATGGATAAAGTGACCACAGCATACATTTAGAATTGATTGTTTTCTTTAGATTTAATCAAGCCCTCCTCTCCTCCGCCAATGAAAATTTTAACGTTTTCTTTCTACTACAGTCACTATACCTTAACATGAAAAGAATTAAATTTTCCTCTCTGACTTTTAATTATCCCCTGACAGCTTTGAGAAATGGCATGAGTAATACAAACCAGAAATGCCAGTTGGCTTTGGAATGCATCCCGTGTGCTTTTGAAACAGATTTTCTGAGCTATGTTTTGAACAAGTGTTAATGTTAATTTGTGTTTCTTTAACAGACACCAACAGATGAGCAAAAAAGAGAAAGAGGTCCTTCACAAATGTAATAGTCTGACAGGAGGGCTTTCCAGGATTGACAATACCATGAAGACAATCAGCAGCAAAAAAAGGAGAAGTCATTGAATATCCTTAAGAATGTCTCGCAGTGGCTCACGCCTGTAATCCCAGCACTTTGGGAGACCAAGGCGGGTGGATCACTTGAGGTCAGGAGTTCAAGACCACCCTGGCCAACATGGTGAAACCCCCTTTCTTCTAAAAATACAAAAATTAGCTGGGTGTGGTGGCACGTGCCTATAATCCCAGATACTTGAGAGGATGAGGCAGGAGAATCGCTTAAACCCAGGAGGCGGAGGTTGCAGTGAGCTGATTGTGCCAGTGCACTCCAGCCTGGGAGACAGAGTGAGACTCTGTCTCCAAAAAAAAAAAAAAAAAAAAAAAGAATGTCTTTCGTAGTGATATATTTAAGTGGTCGGTCGGACATTTTCTCAACTGAGGTTTCAACTACATTGGTGCTTCTCAAAGTATCTGTGAGGAAAGAACCAGTTTTTTAAAAAGAAAATTTTCCAATCTAAAAGTTTCTAAGGGCTGACTCTCAATTTCTGTACTTTTTCATCACAGACCAGTAACAAACAAGCATCACTGCTCCATGAACCACATTTAGAGTAGTCCTGTTTTATTTAAATAACAATTGCTGTTTATGGGGCAGATAGCGTGCCAAACATTTGATAAATATAATTTAACGTTCACAACGATCTTATGTGGCAAATCTTTCCCACTTAACGGCTAAAAAAGTGAGATTTAGAGAGTTTAGGTAATTTGCAAAGACTCATAAAATTAATCAGTGGTAGAACATTTCATCCTAACTTAAATCTATTCATTACCATCTTTTAAGAATCAGGAGCAGCAAGGTTGGATAGTTCAAAATATGCAGAATTATTGACAGAAGAATGACATTGCAAAAAGTCAGATCTGATAGTCCAAGGACACAAATTAATGAGGAAGCAAAAGACCAGGAAAATCTAGTTGGGCATGAGTCAGGTACTAGGTAATTGAAGAAAAGAATGGTTGAAACTGGGTTGACTGCTGGAATGTAGAGTGTAGCTTGTGAGCAATTACTCAAATAAAGATTTTTCCTTTTGTTTAGTGTCCTTTCTTCCTAAGGTAACAAAACATATTCTTATTAATAGCTGTCACCTGATTCTTCCACCACCTTCCAATGTACTGTGTCTGGGGCTTGCTGTACCTCTCTGGTCCTGATCCTTTTAAGGTGATATGGTCATCAATATCTATCCATAGAGTTTGATTACACCCAGCAAAGGGAGGGATACATCCCTTGGCAAGATCTGAGGCTCAATTAGAGGGTCTTCATCCTCTGGGAGACCAAATGGTGCACCATCTAGGGTTGTCAAATTCAAGGACTTGGCTCCTCTTTATTAGAACATCCTTTTCACAGGGAAGCATAGCCTGTGAGGCCTAATGAAGTGGGAATGGATCACCCCTTAAGTCTTAGAGGTGTGTACAGCATGATTACTAAGCTATTTGCAAGGAGAAAAGAGGCCTTTGGCCGGGGAATTAGCTTGTAGGGAGACCCACTGGAAACAGTGTGGCATGTTCAGTCCCCTAGGAACAGGGGACGTAAACACTAATTTATGAAATTAAATTATGAAACTCACATTGGAAGCCAACATGGCAAAGGGAGTCCAAATGCAGGGTGGAAAATGATGTAGGAGAAACTGAAAACGTGCACTGTGAAAGCGAGGATGCAAGGCAAAAAGGAGGAACCAAGAAAAAAAAGTCTCTGAGGAGGAGGAGGTAAGTAGATCAAATAAAGTAGATGAGGCCAAACCTTGTCCAAGCTCCAGGGTTTTGCATAAGATCAAGTAAATAAATATATTCAGATTGTAGACAATACAGAAACACAGGCACACACATTTTTATGCCACCACAAGAAAAAATCCATTACCCATATTCATACCACCCAGAGATGATGATTTAATTATGTTTTCTATGCATTGTTTGACTTTGAGAGTAAGCAAAGCCCAACCAAGCTTGTTGCCTGACTGTATTCTGATAGTGTGTGTGCTAGAGGGAGGGAGAGATAATTGAGGCAGGGACAGTTAATTCACTTCTGAAAAAATCGGTGTAATGTTGCAGATGGCCAAGGCATCATGGGATTTCTGACCCAGAGAGAACTTGAAGATCATCCAGCTGATGGTTTTAAAACTGTGTTTTTCAGAGCCATATAGGTCCAGCACAGATGCCTCAGGGGCTGTCTGGGGGCAGAATTGGGTGTACAGCCAAGTGGTCAGGGTTATAGGTCTCCCAGCCTGGCTTCAACCCAGCAACTCTGCTTTATCTGGTTTTTATATTCATTTCTGGGTAAGGTTTTATTTGAAAAAAATGTTCTGCTGCTTTCAAAGGAGAACAATAAAAAGATTTAAAGTCATTGCCCTAATCCCAAGTATTCATTTTGCAGCCAAGGAAATGGAAACTGAAATCCCAAGAAATAAAAGGACATTCAGAAGAATGTCTAACCCATGGCCAGATGTGTTAGCTATAAGGTACATTCTTGATTCCCTATTTATTCTCTGACATTCCCCTCAAATTGTCTGTATCTCTTTATAGTCTTCCTTAGAATAGGCCTCCTCTTACTCAGAAAATGTTCAGTCTTGGCTCAGGATTATATAACAACAGAATAATCAACTGTTTCTGTTTTCCCAGGACTGAGAGGCTGTCTTTGGGTACAGGACTTTCAGTGCTAAAGCCAAGAAAGTGCCACAAAAACCAGAAGGGTTGGTCTACCTATCAGGAAGCCTCCAGTTCCCAGATCTTTTCTTACTAACAGCTCTGTATTTGTTTCGGAAATTCTAGGTAAGTTTGTCTCACTTTAGATTTCTGACTCATAGAATCCTTCAGCCTTTGGAACTCAATATTTGAGTTTGGCTTCCTAATTTCTGTTTCCTGACCTCACTTCTGATTCATGCCTGTGTAGACACATTCTACCTGCTTACTTCTCTGTGTCATGGACAACACACTCTACCCAGTCTTTATTTTTTCTCCCTGGGATCTGATTGTGTGTAGTCTTTGAATATGTCACTGTCAGGGTGTCATTTGCCATTCATGTGAATTGAAGTAACTGCTGACACCTTACTAATCAAGCAATACTGCCCAACTTCTGGTACATTCTAGAAGTTCCTAGACCCATACTCAGACTTTTCTCAGAGCTTCTTTCCATTATCTTTTCCCTTTACTGCCAACAGGCTTGAAAAACATCATATCTTGGCTGCTGGACATCAACAATATATTTTATGCCCCATGTGGTTCATGAACTGAGTGTCCCAACCTAACAGATTAGTACCAGATAATTTTTTAAACTGCATTCATTAATAGTTAGCATCTCTTTGGATCACTGCTGATTAGAGTATCTAAATTATTCTCACAATTTTGTTTTACCTTAGGAAGACTTGCTGTATATAATTCAAAGAGGGTTTTATTAAGTAACTCAAGCATGGGATTTTAGTGTCTCATTTGATGAGAACTCTGCCAAAGTGTCCGTTACTTCACTCATCATTTGGCCTGTGGGGAGAGCCTTGTGGACTTTGCTCTGCTCATCTGCCCACTCAAATTTATTCTAGGTTTACTTTGTAGATTTTGATCTGAACTATTTTTCAGAATCCCAGACAGGTTCTTTTTCAAAAACAAAAACAAAAACAAAAAAAAACCTGTTTGGCTCAACTCTGTGTCTCTTTTGCTCTTTCTAACCACAGTGATGGCACTCAGATCTCAGTGCTCAAGGGATGTGATTAGAGACAGAAAATGGCATTGAAATTCATGTCACAGAGCATTTAAGTTCAGCTATCATGTGAAAGATCATAGTGTTTTTGTTCCCATTCAGTATACACTGAGTTATATTTTTGCCTCTTTTGTTTTTGTTTCTTTGGAAGGAAAAACATCACTTTATTTTCTTCCAAACTTGTGAATAGGGAGACAGACATCAATGATGTCGTAAACATACTGTGGGGAAGAAAATCTATTAATTAGCATATTTCTTATAGTAGCTATATTAGTAGAAAAAAAGACTGGAGGAGGAAGTGTCCCGGTAGTTTTGAAATGGAATTTAGGATTGTAGCTTACAGCATATTTTCTTGGGACTCATCAGATGCCAACATCTTTTTCTATATATGAGTAAATTGAAACACAAATAAATCAAAGTGGTGGTTCTCCACTCTGGATACACATGACATTCATCTGGGAATTTTAAAAAAATAATTTAAATTTAAGATGCCTGGGCCCCACCCTCAGAGCTGATCTGATTGGTCAGGGATAGAGCTTGGCATTATTGGTTTTTGAAAACCCTCCTGGAGGTTCTCATGCGCAGAGGAAATTCAGAATCCTTGTATTAAAGTTCAGTGGCAGAGTGCGGAGTAGAACAAGTCCATATGAGTCCCCAACAGAGATCTGCTCACTGCCCTCATGCCCTCACCTTGAAGAATGCTGGCTGTTGGCATTGAAGAGAGCACCAAAAGGTTAGCGACACATGCTGAAGAGGGCAAGTATTGCAGCCAGGGACTATTTGAGTAAAAGAGATAATGCTATTTCCATATCAAGTCAAGTGCAAGCATTTCCCAGGAGACAGAGGACACACAAAAACATGCTGACATACTACATAACTCAGTTTGAACTTCACTAGGGTCTTCCCCAATTGTGGTACCCTCTGGAAATAGAAACTAATCGTCGGAAAGTGGAGTGACAGCAGAGCTCCTTCAGGAGGCAGATACTTGGAATCCTCTTCCTCTCCAGAGGATTCAAAGAATCAGAACATTTCTGTAAACTCCTTAAATCAGCAGGTCACTCATTAAGTCCCTCTTTTGCCACCCTACTGCTCTGTCCTCTGCTAGACAGTAAGCAACACTAAAGCAACTGCCTTGTTCTGTAGTGTGCCCTAGAACCTAATACAGTGATTGACATTACTCTAGGATTCTCCTTACTCTAGGATTCTGTATTTGTGAACTAACTTACTTGCCAAAAGTTATTTGCAACCCCCAAAATCAATAGTAGCAGCAGTTTCATGGTCATTAATGGATATGTGCTAAGCAATGAAAAATTTTAGTCTCTCAATATGCATGCATGCTCCCAGCTGAGGTTGAACAAGGTGACACTCTGCCTTCTTATTTCTGCTCTCAGACTCTAAACAAGTGTCCTTTTGTAGTCTATTTACTGCCATGGTTTTTTTTTTTTTTTTTTGCATTTTTGTGCTTCTTCTTGGTAATTTCACTGTTTAAAATGTAGCGTAGTGCTGGAGTGCTGTCTAATGTTGCTAAGTACAAAAACGCCATGATATGCGTTACAGAGAAAACACATATGTTAGACAAGCTTTGTTCAGGTATGAGTGATGTGCTGTTGGCCATGAGTTCAATGTTAATGAATTAACTATATATTAGATAAAGTGTTTTGAAACAGAAATACACATAAAACAAAGTTATATATTGATCAGTTATTGAAAATATTGTGGCTAGAGGCTTATAGGAACCTAATCCTGTGTTTCTACTAGGAGCAATGGTTCGGTATTAAATAATTCAGTGTTCACAGTGACTTTAGAGAACATAACCAACACAAATCATAAGAATTGACTGTATACAGTAAATACTCAATAAATACCTGTTAAGCAAATGAGCAACTGAATAAAAATCTCACATTTGCATATTTTTACATATATCAATATGTATTATGTGTATTTGTATTGGATTCTGTATTGGTGCTGGAATGTCAAAGATGCTAATAATAGTTAACCTTTATGGAGTGCTAACTATGAGTCAGGCACTTTGGACATCCATTTTTATTTAGTCTTCACAACAGTTCTGTGAGGCAAATACTTCATTTAATGGAGAAGGTAACTGAGGCCAAAAGAAATGAAGGAACTTGCTCAGATTCCCTTAGTTAGAAAGTAGTGAATATATGTTTGATCCAGGCAGCCAAACTTCTGTTGTGGGCTCAACTGTGGGTTCTCACAAATTCATATGTTGACATTCTAACCCCAGTACCTCAGAATGTGACTATATTTGGAGATAGGGTTTTTAAAAAGTACTTAAGGCTAAATGAGGTTATTGGAGTGGGTCTTAGTTCAATATGACAGGTATCCTTATAAGAAAAGATTAGGACACTGACACATGCAGATGGAAGATGTATAAAGACATAGGAGGAAGACGGTCATCTGCAATCCAAGAGGAGAGACCTCAGGAGAAACCAACCCCAACTACACCTTGATCTCAGACTTCTAGCTTCCAGAACTTTCAGAAAAAAAAACATTTCTATTGCTTAAGCCACCTAGACTGTGGTACTTTGCTATGGCAGCTTGAGCAAACTAATACAACTATAATTACGATTCCTGGCTGATAAATAAAACATGCCCAGAGCCTCCAAATTTCTTAAGTATAGCCACTTGCTATAATCCACTTGAGATATTTTTCTTCAGAGGGAGAGCAGTATGCTGTGAATGAGGCTGTGAATAAATTTGAAATTCTGGAACGGCTCGTAGGATAGAGCAAGTGAAAAAAAGTTGCTGGATCTTGAGCCAAAGCCAAGTGGAGCATAAATGTGGCCAAGCCAGAACAAAGCACAAGGAGGGGTGCCAAATCACAGAAGTACAAGCAAAGCAGGGAGGGGTTGTACTGGATGGAACATAAGCCAAACGATCCAGTCAAGGAGGAGGACCAGGTCACAAAAGCAAAAGTTTAAAAAGCGAAGCACAAAAGGCATAAGACAATAGGAGATGGATCATGAGGACTATTTTATGGATGCGTAGCCCACCTGGGACCCAACTGGCCACAATATGTAGGTTTAAAAAGTTTAAATACACTTTCCTTTCATGTTCCTTCACCTGAATAAAAAACAGTGTTGAAATTAAATTTTGACATTCCCATCAAAATATGGTTGAGTGATAGATCATTACTGTGTCATGGTGGGTTCCGCAGAAACAAATGCTGAGAGGGAGATTCTGGAATACAGCAGTCTTTAATTTTAGTAGCAGGTAGGATAAATCTTTTTTTTTTTTTTTTACTACTTTTTCGAAAACATTCTTGGCAATTTTTGCATACTTTGTTTTCTTATGAAAAATCATTTTATCAATTTTATAAAGAAACCTTGTTGGGTTTCTGATTGAAATGATATTAAGTGTATTTATTTGAAAAGAAATCACATTTTTATTATATTAAGACTTTCTGAGGACTTCCAGTTCCAAAATGGTGGTGTAGATATAAGCTGGCTTCATTCCTCCCATCACTACAGAGAATCAAAAACATATACAGTGTCAAGATGATCACCAACAATGTCTAATAATTAAAATATGAGGATGAGACCATTTCTGGGGCCACAGGAAAGTGAAAAAACTCTGAGCAGATGGGAAGAGAATTGGATTTGTACATCTGTGACACCCTTCCCTGCAATCTGTCCATCACTAAATGCACAGAAAACTTTTCCCTGACCCATGGTTTCCACACTGGTGAAAGTAAGACAAAGGTGGACAACTAGCTTCCCCACCATCTTGGATTCCCTGTCAGGAGACCTGTCCCTACCTCAACCCACAGGAAGCATCAAGAGTACCTGAAAGGAGAAATATCCCTGAGCATAGCCAGAGACAAAGGGGTGAGGTAGGACTACCATCCAAAGTGGCTGTTTAGCATCACCATGCTATAGTCTGGGTTTTGTTTGTTTCAGGTTTGTTTCAGGTCCCCTGGGCATGAACCTCTAACAAGACTTTCCATACTACTGGGATATCCCCTTTGGAACTTTCCCATTTGGGTTGGATGGCACTCTAATTGTGTATTAGAACCAAGGCAAACCTGGGCCTCAGCAAACCTGGCAGCCATCTAGTGCTGAAAAAGAGACAGTGACTTAGCTGAGAAAAAAAGAGAGACAGCATGGTGATGCTGAACAGCCACTCAGATTTGATGTCTCCTTTGGCCAAAATACAGAGCAGAATTTCTAGGGCTTTGGATGGTAGTCTGGATAAAAATATTTTGTGTAAGACTGCAAAAGCACAAGCAACTGAAGCAAAAATAGACAAATGGGATTACATCAAACTAAAGCTTCTGCACAGCAAAGTGAATAGACAACACACAAAGTGGAAGAAAATATTTGCAAACTATCTGACAAGGGATTAATAACTGGAATCTTTAAGGAGCTCAAACTATCAATAGAAGAAAAAATCCACAAATAATCCAATTAAAAATGGGCAAAAGACCTGAATAAATTTTTTTAAAAAAAAATCCATTTTTACTTTAGATTTGGGGGTATTGGTGTAGTTTTGTTATCATACAAGATTACAGTGCATGATGCTGAGGTTGGGTTTCTATTGATCCCGTCACACAGATAATGAACATAGTACCCAAAAGGAGGTTTTTCAGCCCTTGCTTCTCTCCCTCCCTCCTGCCTTTTGGAGTCCCAGTGTCTATAGTTCCCATCTTTATGTACCCAAGATTAACTCTCACTTAAAATTGAGAACATGCGATAATTTGGTTTTCTGTTTCCATATTAATTTGCTTAGGATAGTGGCCTCCAGCTGCATCCATGTTGCTGCAAAGGACATTATTTCATTATTTTATGGGTGTGTAGTATCCCATGGTGTATATGTACCACATTTTCTTTATCCAATCCACCATCGATGGATACCTAGGTTGATTCCAAGGTATTTTAAGAAATACCATGAATAGGTATTTCTTAAAAGAAGACATACAAATGGCCAATGGGTATATGAAAAAAATGCTCAACATCATTAATCAGGGAACTACAAATCAAAACCACAATGAAATGTCATCTCACTGCAGTTAAAATGGCTTCTGTTAAAAGACAGGAAATAACAGATGCTGGTGAGAATGTGGACAAAGGGAAACACTTGTACACTGTTGTTGAAAATGCAAATTAGTACAGCAGCTATGGAAAACTGTATGGAAGTTCAAAAACCTAAAAATAGAACTGCTATATAATTCAGCAATTCCACTGCTGGGTATATACCCAAAAAGAAAGGAAATCAATGTATCAAAGAGATATTTGCACTCCTATGTTTATTGCAGCATTATTCATAATAGCCAAGATATGGAATTTATCTAAGTACCTATTAATGGATGAATGGATACAGAAAATGTAGTATGTATTCACAATGAAATATTATTCAGCCATAAAAGCATGAAATCCTGTGATTTGCAGCAACATAGTTGGAACTGGAGGTCATTATGTTAAGTGAAATAAACCAAGCTCAGAAAGACAAATATCACATATTCTCCTTCCCACGTGGGAGCTTAAAATGAGAATCTCATGAAGATAGACAGGAAATTGATGGTTATCAGAGGCAGGGAAGGGTACAGGGTGGGGGGAAATGAAGAGAGGCTGATTAATGAGTATAAAGATACAGTTTGTTGTAATAAATTAGACCTAGTGTTTGATGGATCAGTAGGGCGGCTATAGTTTATAATAATCTATTATATGTTTCAAAAATAACTAGAAGAGAATAATTCAATTTTTTCTATCATAAAGAAAAGTATTTAAGGTGACAGATATCCCAATTGCACTGATTTGATCTGTACAAATTATACAAATATATTAAATTACCTCATGTGCCCTCAAAATATGTATATTATATATAAAAAAATTTAAAAATAAAAATGTCAATGACCTAGGGGGGAAAATACTTTCTATCAAGGGGTATAGTTTGTCAATACATTTATTCAGATCTCATTTTATGTCCTTCAATAAAATTTATAGCTCTTTTAAATAAATGTTACATTTTCCTTGTTAAATTGTTTCTATGTAATTTGTAGTTTTTATTTTATTGTTAATGAGGTGTATGGTTGTGTTTTCCATTTCTATTTCTATCTGGTTTCTATGAGTAAATCAGTTGGTTTTTAAAATATTTTTCCTGGTAACCAGCACCTTACCAAATTATTTTACTTCTAGTCACATAATTTTCTTTTAATTGAGCCTGTTGGTTTTTTTTTTGTTTTTTTAGGTAACCATGGAATTATTTGCAAATCAGTGTGATATGACTATCTTCCAATATTTACATAACTTCTTTACTTTTTAAAGAATTCTCAAGAACTCTGAAGAAATGAAAATAACATCTCTTCCTTTAAAGAGCATAAGCTATTGGCCAGTGTTCACTATATATTAGAGTTGTAATTGTGATGGCAGGTACTTTACTTGTGATGCATAATCCATCTTGCTGTCTGTTCTATTCCAGGATGATATTTCTGGGTTAGAGTACCTCCTTAAGCAGAGCCACATGGAAACAGGATTTTTAAGGGACACATTTTGAGTTGGTCTGCCTAGCTGTGAGATAGATGGGAGGGGGTGGGGCAAAGTGTATCTTAGAGGCCAATTGTCCCACAGGTTTTCAAATAAATGGCAACATTTTTTAAAACTAAGAAAAATTGAGCTTTTGCCTTTTAAAATCTGGTTCAAATGTCCCCTTATGAAACAGAACGAAGTGAAAATGCTCCCAGCAACATGTCATGTGTCTGGATGGGAAGTGGAGGCTCAGCCTGCCACTCTCTCACTATGTCTCCAAGGACTGTGCTGTGGTTTGTGACTCAGCTATTGTTTGCAAAGCCCAGGACCACCACATTTTGTACCCTTCTCTGTCTTCAAGGAGAAAACCCACTTCATATAACCAAGCCCACATGGATCCTCACACTGAGAATTATAAAAGACTGCACCGAGCTGTTTTCTTCCTGTTACTCTTATGATAAATTCCTTTCTGAGCTTTAGAAATAAGTAGCTGGGGAAATTTGTTCCCTCTACTTTCACTTTTGCTTTCTCGTTTTGAAATCATCATGAAAGCTTACAGAAGCTAACATCAAGTTGCCCTGGTTATCAGACGATTTCTCTTCTCTATCTTGACCCCTCATCAACCACTTTACATCATCTTTCCATGTGATACAACTATTTATTTGAGTGCCTTGGGCTCTAAGCTCTGTAGAGCAAGCAGCCTATACTTTATTTTTCCTCTTCTGTGTTCTAAGACACTTGTAATAATTATCAGCCTAAAATTAACCCAAATATCAGACGCATGGTGTTTGGTAGCCCTTCAAAGCTTTTTTGTTTTTTTCCTGGCCAATCTCAGGTACAATGGTTTGGTATTAGACTAAATTTAACATGTGTACAATGAAAAGATTTTGCTTCATTTTTCTAGGACTTTGATGCTCTGGTATTTTGAACCACCTAGGCTGTGATCACTCAAGTTGCCTAGTAACCAGCTGAAGGCCAGCACCAGAGTGAAACCAAGAGAAGCCACATTCCTTAATAAAGACAGCAACAGCTGGGGAACCAGCAGGTCTAGGTTCACGGTTGAGCTGGATCCTTACTCCTTTGAGGATGTGACTGACATGTCTTTTATTAAACTGCTTAAATCCTCCATCTGTAAAATGGGCCTGACGTTTGACAGCAAGTACCTCCTGCACATATTGTGAGGATTAATGAAGAATCTAGAAAACAGTTTGAACCTTTCAGAATAAAAGCACTTGGAAAACATGTTGGATTTACAATAATTTAGTGCTAGCATTAAGATAATGTTGGAAAGCAGGGTCAGCTAAATCACTGATTTCCAAGATTTAAAGACAACTACAGTAATAACAGTCTTTCCACTTGCCTTATAGTTAATTGTGTTTATATAATTATCTCAAGGACAGAAAGTGGTGATAAATGCATTGAAAATGGAGAAAAACGTATTATGGTATTAAAAAACAATCTGAGTTACCATATCTGAGATCAACCCACATATGTGCGGATTTACTCAGTACTAATTCAGCTAATCTTTCTTAGAGATGACTGTCAATTCTAGAAGAACTCAAGATACAAGGTAAGACCATTAGCTTGGTGTATAGTCTGATGAACAGCATATAAAAATGGCTTTGTTTGGGAAACAGTCCCTCTATGTCAATATGGAATTCTGGGCTCATCTGAGCCAACACACTTACCTAGGATTCAAGTTCCTTCCCCTCACCTACAATCTATGCATTCTTTTTTTCTTGTCATTACCCCATGTAGACTTTGCATTTCGCCCATGCTAAAATATTTCATCTCCCTTTCACCCCAAACACAATGAACTCTCCTTAGCTAGAAATGTCAGCTCACAAGCTTCTGTCTTAGAACAATTTTTTTCCACAATTCTCTTGGATTATCTGAAACAAAACTATCCTGAAAACCACCAGCTCAAGTACTCCTTTGCAAAATGGACTGTTTTATTTCCCAGGCCCAGAGTGGTCATAAAGTCCCTGAGGTATCATTAGGCATCAAGAAGAACTGGGTTCAAATCCTTTTTATGCTTTCTGTGCATACATAAGGCAAATTACTTAATTTCTCTCAACCTTAGATTCTTATCTATAAAACAGATAATAATACACTCAAAGGTTGTTGGGAGGATTAAATAAGGATATATATATATGTAATATTTTCATATATATCCTTATATAAGTATATAAGGATATATATGCAATATGTATATATGTATGTGTACATACATACACATATATAGTGCGTATATATATATACACACACTCACACAGACATATATATATGGTGGGTCAGAAATTTCAGAAATATACCCCGTGCTCAATCAACGTAATTGATAGAGTTCTCTTTCCCCCTTCCACTCCACCTTCTTTCTAGCTCTCATACTAATCATGGCTGCTTTTCTAGATGGTAGAGTAGAACCCTATATCGACTAACAAAATAGATGTCTTCTATTTGAAGGGATTTAGAACCAGGTTAAAAAGTAAAACATAATGTCCATTCGCCTGCATTATAGTTTTCTGCGATGTTTAGAGAATTTTTTTAATGACAGGTTTTGATTGTCTTATATTGAATATGTTTTAAGTGGTTTTCACCTAATATAAGAGGAAAACATCAAAAGCCACAATCCTAGAAAGAGAAACTACATTACATTGAAAACTCTCAAGGGCTAATGGGCCATTTATGCCTTTTCTCTGGGCATTAGGAAACTCATTGTATGGTGACAAGTTTGCCTTGGCTCAATCTGATCTACCAGCAAGGACTCTGAAAGACATTCATTCAATCACTTGTCCATCCTGAAGCCACTGCTAAAATTGCAGCCACTGCTAAAATTGCAGCCGGCTGAAGTGACACAGGAAACCAAGTCCCTGTACTTAACTTGGAGGATGAAAGGAGGCATCATACAGAGGACTGATTAAAGGCCAGGTGATGTGGCGGCCCTCATACTCAGAACATCTGGGAATTTTTAAATGCTGTCCTGACCCTCACTAGTTTTCTTCAAATACTGGAACTGCTGGAAATTCCACCCAGTTTTTCTGCAAAACCCATTTAGGTGCTTCTACGGGAGTCAGGTGATTCCCAGAGTCCAATAACTCCAATGACATGAGACTTCGGAGATTTGCTGTTTTCTAAAAAGAGCAAGACAACCGTCTCTTCCACTTCCATTCTAGTTTTCCCAGGACTTTCCCAGTTTTCCAGTGAAAGTCCCTAGTCGTAGGAAACACCTCAGTTTCAGGTAAACACTGAACAGCTTTCTCAGAAATATAGCTAGGATTGGGGAATATCACAAGATCACCAACACTTTAAATAGGATAGGACTTAGACTCTTTCAACTCAGAAAAAGACAGAAAAAAACCAGTTTTGTGATCAACCCACAAACCTAATGCCATCCAAGGTCTGTTCTTTCTTCACCAGTTCAATGGTTACAATTATTTTTGAGGCAGAAAATCCTTTGCAAAACAGATGAAATCTGTGGAAACTCTTGTTAGAAAAATCTATTCATATCCACATAATACTGAAGTATATAGCACACAAAGCAAGTGTACTAATCAAAAGATTACAGCTTTATAAATTTTCACAAACCAAACACACCCATTTGAACAGCACCTAGGTAAACAACAGAATATTACCAGCACCTCAATAGGATTTATCTTTCCCTTCCAGTCACTACTAGCCTGCCAAGGGTAAATGCTGCCCCAACTTCTAAGACCTTAGATTAGTTTTACCTTCTTTTGAACTTCATATAAGTTAAATTATTTAGTATGTACACTTTCATGTTTGGCTTCTTAAATGCAACATTTTTTTGTGACAGTAGGTCTTATTATTGTGTGTAGTTGCAGTTCATTAATTCCCATGTATGTTACATCGTATGAAAATACTATATTTTATTTATACATCCTATTATTGGTGGTTATTTGGTTAGTTTTTAAAGTATTGTGAGTAATATTACTGTAAACATTTTCATGTATATCCTTTAGTGAATAATTATATGCATTTCTTTTGGATATAAGCCAAGGAATAAAATGATGGGGTTCTAGAACATATATATGTGTGTGTGTGTGTGTCTATATATATATGTATACATATGTATACATATACACGTATATATGTATACATATACACGTATATATGTATACATGTGTATACATATATACGTGTATATGTATACACATGTATACATATATATGTGTACATATGTATATATATGTATATATGTATATATGTGTATATATGTGTATATGTGTATATATGTATATATGTGTATATATGTATATATGTATATATGTGTATATATGTATATAAGTATATATATGTGTATATATGTGTGTATATATATATATATGTTCAGCCTTAGCAGACACTGTTTTTATTTTTAAATTTACATATAGTAAAATTCACATTTGTTTTGGTGTAAAGGTCTGTGAATGTAGCCTTTTTAGATTAGCCTCTTTCATTTCACATAAGTATTTGAGGTTCATTCATGTTGTTTACATATCCTTAATTCATTCCTTTTTTATTATGGAATAGTATTCCATTGTATGGATGTATCACAATTTGTTAATTCACCTGTTGAAAAACTTAAAGTATAATAATAATAAAATTTTAAAAAACATGATAGAAAAACATTTTTTTTCCACTTTAAGGCTATTATTAAAATTCATGTACAGTTTTGTGTGAATATAGTTTTCATTTTTCTATGTGATATGGTTTGAATGTATGTGTCTCTCCCAAAATTCATATATTAGAGCTTAAAACCCAGCATGTTAGTATTTAGATGTAGGGCCTTTAGGCAGGGATTAAGTCATGAGAGCAGAGTCCTCATGAATGGGATTAGTGACCTCGTAAAAAGTCCTGAGGGAAATAGCTAGGCCCTTTTGCCCTTCCACCATATGAGGACACAGTATTCATCCCCTTGGGAGAACACAGCAACAAGGCACATTTTGCAAGCAGTTATCAGCCCTTAGCAGACACCAGACCTGCCAGCACCTTGATCTTGGACTTCCCAGACTTCAGAACTGTGAGACGTAAATTCTTGTTCTTTATAAATTACCCAGTCTCAGGTATTTTGTTACAGCAGCAGGAACAAACTAAGACACTAGGGTAATCATTTAGAAATTTTGGTTCTCATTTGTTCTTTAACTTTATAAGAAACTGCAAACTTGTTTTCCAGAATGACTATACCATTTTGAATTCCCATCAGTAATGTGTGAGATCTCCAGTAGCTCTGCATCCTCACCAGCACTTGGTAGTCTCAGGCTTAATAAGCTATTCTGGTAATTATGTAGCAATATCTTATTATGGTTTCAATTTACATTTCCTTAATGATTAATGAGGTTGAATATACTTTTATGTGTTTATTTAGTATTCCAGATAATTTATGTATTATATCTAAAATTTTTAATTGTAATTAGTGGGAAGATAGGGTAAAGTGTATGTATTTCATGTCAGCCAGAAGTTCTCAATACCTTTTGAATTGGATTTTAGTCTATTCCTCAAGCAGAGTCTCACAGAGACTGAGCATGAGGAGACTAGATGATAGGAATGCATCTCAGTGACACTCAAGGAAACCTCATGTCCTTTGAATCATGTTTCCTAGTTTCCTGACAGCCTGCTGTTCTGCAGGCTAAGCTCCTACAAAACTCAAGTGGACAAAAAAACTTGTCTGAGTTAATTGAAAATCCACTTTACACCTGTTTTTTTTTTCAATCCATTTTGCTTCCTAAGGGGATGGATGAGTTCACTCATTCTCCTCAGGCTATGGTATTTTAAACTGCTGTCATAGAAAGTAACAGGATCTGTTTGGGTGCTCTTTCTCTTTCTCACAGTTCTACTAGAATGACCTCAAGTTTGATTTGACCCAGTACTTCCCAAGCTAAGGAAACAAGCTTTCTGAAAGTGCACATACTTCTGTAAAGTGCACAAAGACTTTACTGAATTGGTAGGCATGAGTCACAATGATCAGCTATGACGACATGTTTGCCAAACTGGGGCTGGTCTCAAAACATAATATTTCTGGAGGACACCCACGTCTTGACATCCATCCTCACTTATTAGGCTGGATTATTTGGACCCAACTACAATCCTCTAGGAGGACGTCAGGTGTTTTGAATGGCTCCATTAACTCAGCCAGGCCATTAGAACAGTACTACTCAAGTGTGCCCTGCATACCCATAGCATCACATCACCTGGGAGCTTGTTAGAAATCCTGATGCCCAGACAACATTTTCGAAATCATATCTCTGGGGCTAAGTACAGGAATCTGTGTCTTAACAAGCTTTTCCAGGGATTCTTATGCATTCTGAAGTTTAAGAACCACTGATTAGAATTTGCATTTACTTATGACAAAGCTAAATTAAAAGATTGGGAAAAGGAAATGAGATTTTTTCCCAATGTTTTCAAATTTCTACTGAGTGTTAATCTATTACTCTTTTACAAACAAACTCTTCAGGCAACCTACGAAAGGAAGAACTAAGGTGACTTTAGTAATAGAAGTGAACAAAACCGCCAGTTTATAGGCGAGTATGTGGCCTTCCTTTTGCAATCATAGATGGCAAAACAATATTATGAAGTGTAGGTAAAAATATGATCCTATTTTTGAACTATTTTACAGCAAATGGACAGAATAATATAATTTTTAAATGAAAAAGCTTATTGTTTATTATTGATGTTTAAAAAATATTTGAAAATCATCAGGAAAAAAAGCTGTTTGGTGAGTTTCCCTCTAGAAATATATTATTTTCTGACCATAATAGCAGGCCTATGTGAGCAAATTTTATAGTAATTCTGACTATAATCTCAGTCTTGAGCCTAGTTAGAGGAATTCTGAGAGCTGAATTCAAATAGAGATAGACTGGAGAAAAGACAGAAGCAGTCTTCTAAATTGATCTTGAATTGGTCAGATGCTGTTAGTAAATATTTATTGGGTACTTCTTATGTGCAGAGTGTGTGCTGTGTGCTGAAGCTGGTCATATCAATTTGGAAGTATGATAAGATAGCCTTATAAAATGTCCATTAAAACCCATGTAGGTGATAGAAGGCAATAAAGTTTTTCCCCCATACACTCCTTCTACTTCTCTTCAATCTTCCCACCCCTTATCAAGGTGTGTTTTCTTACACAAGAAGCCACTACCACCGATTTAGCATCAATGACAGAAGATTTTCATTGTTTGTTTGTTTCATCCAGCCATGAAGATTCTCTGATTCACCTTCCCTCCTCCTAGTTGTTACCAAGAACATGAATTTTGCAAGCTGATAAACTGAAATCTGAAGTGCAAACTGTGGAATGGAACCGAGCTAAAGGAGCTTGTATTACAGAAGGAATTTATTTTTTAGAGAATTGTCTGTTCCTGCTGTTCCAACTTTAAGGAAAAGATACATATCAGATTGTACTATTTTTAAACTGTTTTTCCAATTAATTTGACTATGAAAAAACTCACTAGAAGTGAATTACTCATTGCATCTTATCTCTTGATCTTGGTACTAGAGCCCAGCTGCATCACCAGTTTTAGCCTTCCCTTCTGCCTCCCACACACTCCCCCAAGCCCACTGACTTCACTTGCAGCTTACTGAAGAACAGATAATGTTGGCTATTTAATCAGAACTGCAAAGATATTTGACACAGTGTACATGCAGCCCCTGGAGCAATTGTAACTGACTACCCATCTTCCTACAGCTGAATCCCAGGCAGGTGAGTAGCCTGAGATGAAGGGAGGATTGTTAGAAAGGAGAGGATACTGACTGATGGGTTAGCTGGGCACTGTCTCTATCCAGGGACACGTAAGGGAGTCAAGATCAGGACAAGACAATGCTTGGGTGAGAAACTAAATGGCTAGATGCCTGGGATTCCTTGACTTTTTGTCATGCTCTCTCTAGGTCCTATTATTTCCTCATGTTTGGAAAGACATTGTACTATTATAGGATTTTTCAAAAAAAAAAGAAAAAAAATAATCACTTTAGATAAGCAATGGATTTTTATTTGGTTTTAAAAGGACTTTGTTAATTTTCCATTGTTAACAACCCAGATTCTGTCCCAGGTTCTGCTCCAGCAATATTCTAATGTCTACTGGTCAGCAGTGACAAAGCGACAAATCCTTGTTGCTCAATGATTTGTAACGTCCATTTGCAGGCATTAGTTCATAATGAGACAGCCAGGTGGTAAGGGCTCCTTGGCAGAGCCTCTGACCGACCTGCACACTGGGAGGAGTGTGCACTGGAGTGCAACCACAGAAGTCCGCATCGCTTTCTCTGGGGAGAAGCCTGGCCCCTCCTCTTCCTGGGTTGTACCTGGGATTCAGTCTGCAAGGCGGGAAGCCCATGAGCAGAAAGCATAAACTCTTACCTCGCTAAGAGTCTGTTTCCCCTTTTCTTCCTTTTTGTCCAATAAATCCCATTTTTCTCACTCTTCAAATCGTCTGCGAGCCTAAATTTTCATGGCCATGTGACAAGGACCCCATCTTTAGCTGAATTAAGGAAAAGTCCCACAACAATAATAGGAGATGGCCCAATTCTGCATGACTTAGATCAAGGTTTCCTAACATTTGTGAGTTTGAGGACCCCTTTATACCATCAGAAAAGTCCCCAAATCACCATACAATTTTACCTGTGTTTCAAGTTATTAGTTGATTATAACATATTTGTACTAGGACAAAAAATGACTATCAATTCAAAAACCATTTTAAATTATCTTGTATAAGTTTTCAAAAAAGAAAGGAAATAACCACCATATATTAACCATAACACTTGCAGACATTTGAAAATAGCAGTCCATATACAGGAAGATCTGTTTTTATTCAGTATGCAGCCAATACTTGGTAAACAGAGGGGTTAAAGGTATCTTTTGTACAGCACTTATAATTCCTAAGTGTCCACAATACACAGGCTTGAAACCAGTGACTTAGGCAATGAATTATATCACACACAAAAAAATGAATGAATAATAAAGAAATAAATAATTGGGGAAAAAAACAAACCTGGGCTTGTTATTAAAACATAAGAAAGGAGAGCTTTTTGTTGAGGTTGGAATTATAATTACTTTGGTTGGTAAATGGAAATTATTTTATGATGGTTCTTGTTATAGCTATGAATACTTGTGATGAATTTTGGGGTGTTTGTTGTTTCTGATATTACAAACTATATTAGTAGAACAATAAGATGAAATATGCCTCCTTTAGAAGTAAATTTTAGCAATTAAAATGGTGTTTTTAAAGATGTCTTTTTCTCTTCAGGGATTCAGGACTGCAGGCCATGCAAACATTTGTGGCTTTAAAATGCGACATTGCCAGGATGGCTAGGCATATCCTAAATGTCTTAGGTGAGGATGGAAAGTGACTTGATGTCTCCTGCTGTACCATCTCTAGTATTTATGGAATAATGACCACTCATAAAGTGAGGGAAACACCTCTTTAAAGAGGGATGTTAGCTCCTAGCAGGGCCATCCTACAACTAAGAGCAGACTGTGACTTCTCTAACTCCCTGTTCAACTCTGAATCAATCCCCACCTAGTATCTCTTGGGTGTGGTAATGGGGCTTCAAGTGCCATTATATGGAAGTTTGGCCTAAGGATAAAGTATCACCTAAATTTTATCTTGGCTCAGCTCATCTGTTCTCCTTGAAATTCCAAAGGCACTGTGCTCACAATAGACAATGGCAAGGGAAGAATGGCATTATTTCTTTTCAGTGAGCCTGTGGGTGAAATTCCAATGTCAGCTTTCTAGGCAACTGGACAGGAATCCATGGCTTAGACTCAAGAGATGAGGGGAGTATGCATTCTGCCCCAAAACTAAAACCCCACTTTCAAAATTTTACCACCTTCATGGCAGCTGCATTAGGAACATGAGGGCAGGGTTTTAAACATCCAAGTGCATGTGCAATGGAAAAGAGGGAAAAGACACCAGAGTCCAAGGCCAGATTCTGCTCTATGGAGGCAAGAAAAATAGAGAAAGACACTCATGTATTTGATCCTGTAACACACAAGGTCAGATTCTCACTAGAGTATTAGAATCTGAACCACTCAGATTAGCAATGCCTGCTTTGGTAAAGGACCTAGAAAGTAGGTGGGAGGGAGACAAAGATGTTCCTCTCTAGTACTTATGGATTTTATTCTGCAAGACCATTGCCCACTTATATGTCCTACCTTGGAGGACATGTAGCTTTAGATATCTTTATACAATGAATTATTTTAGCAGATTAAATTCTGCTCACAACCTTGTTGGCATAGAAGCTGAACATATATGCATGGAAATAATCTCTGACTTTCTGAAGCCAAAGAATAATCAGGCTCATGCTGGCACTTGATGAGTTAAGTGAGCTGAAATATGAAGTCCAACAAATTTGTTAATGGCATTTCCTTTAACTAAAAGGATCAACGAAATCCATAGGAAGTAAATCTTTGCTTCATCTCCTACTGCTGTTACTAACAGAATTTTGGAAACCTTTTTTTTTTTTTTTTTTTTTTTTTTTTACAGAAAACCAATGAATTACTGGCTTTTATTAAAAAGTGGACAAAAAACAATATCTAACTCTAGGGAGATAAGAATGTCCTAGAACAGTGCTGCCCAATAATCTGCACTGTCTGATATGGTAGCCAGCAGCCACACATATGGTTACTGAGCATTTTAAATATTATAGTATGACTGAAAAATTAATTTTAAATAATTTAAATAGCTGCATGTGTCTGTTGACTACCATATTAGACAACGCAGTTCTAGAACTGTTCATCATTGCTGTGTTTTTTATTAAATATATCATAGGCATAAATTAGTATATAATATAGTTTAAAGAAGAATAATCCATGTACCCCCCAACTCAGCTTAAGAAAGAGACTACTGTCCAAACCTCTGAAGTTCTTCAAGTGTCTCTGTCTGATCCCTTCATATGCCACCCCACCCCCAAAGGTACTTAATATCTTGAATTTTATGTTTGCCACCATTCTTTTATTTTGCTGTGTATTTTGGTATGCATTCCTAAACAAAATTTTATTTCATTTTACATGTTTTTGGATGTTTTATAAATAGAATTATACTGTATGCATTCTTTGATGAAGTACACATTTTTTACTTTATAGGGTAATGTCAAATTATTTTTAGAGTGGTTGGACTAACTTTATACACTCACTCACAGTTCAAGAACTCTTTGATTCTCCATATTCTGGCAATAATTATATTTGACAAACTTTTAAATTTGTGTTTATCTGGTAAGTAGGCATAAAATGTCATCTCATCGTATGCCTAATTAGTATCCCCAGATTATTTATAGGATAAGGGATCTTTGCATTCATATATCTCTTCTTTTGAAGTGCCTGCTTAACTTTTATTAATTGATTTATGGGATATTTTTATATATTCCAGATAGTAATTTTTGCCAGTTGTGTGTACTGCAAATATCTTCTCCCTATTTGTGGCTTGTCTCTTACTTTTCATGGTCTATTTATTGAACAGGAATTTTTAATTTTATTGTACTTAAATTTAACATTTACTTCATTTGTGTATCTGTCATCTTTTAAAAGAAAGCCTCCCTACCCAGAGGTTGTAGAGCTATTCTCCTATATTTTCTTCTGTAGGTTTTTATTTTGCCTTTAAGTCTTTTATCTATCTGTAATTGATTTTTGTGTATGGTGTAAGATGGGGATACAAATTCCATACCAACTCTTGTATATGTAGGCACAATTCCAGGCCCTCTCTTTTCTTGTATCTCTCATTTCCTTTCATATTTTAACGTATCTTTTCATGTTTTTCATGTATATGTGGGCACAATTCCAGACCCTCTCTTTTTTCCCACTAGTCTGTTCAGTCCTGAGACAATACCAGTGTCTTAATTACTATAATGTTGGAATAAAGGAGCCAGACACAAAAGAGTAACTAATCTGTGCGTCCATTTATGTAAAACTCAGAATGTTCCACATCCTGTCCCATGGGGCAGGGAGAAGAGCAGGAGACAATGTCAGAAAGGCACTATAGGGATAGATCATGGAGTAAAATGGAAGTCACTGGAATGCTTTCAGTAGAGGAGCTACATGATCTGACTTATGTCTTTAAAGTATCACTCTGGAGCTTTGTTGAGAATAGACAGCTGTGGAAGCAGGGGACCAATTACGAGGCCAATGCAACAATCCAGATGACAGAAGATGGCAGATGGGACCAGAGTGGTGGCAGTAGGGGTGGTGACATGTGGTCAGATACCAGGCACATTATAAAGATAAAATTGATCATATTTGCTGAAAACTTGCCAAGAGAGTAGATTTTAGGTGCTCTTACCACAAAGAAAAAGGGCAACTATATGAGATGATGGATATGTTAATTTCCTTGACTATAGTAACCAGTTCACTATGCATAAGTCTGTCATAACATCATGTTGTACACCATAAATATATACAGTGAAAAAAGAGTGACACATCAAGGTTTTGGGGCGAGCAACTGTAAGGATGGATTTCATAGTATAAACAAAATACATATAGAATACATGTATGTTTATATGGAATACATGTAAAGTACACACACATACATAGTGCCTAGCACAGGTTGGGAACATATTATATGTATACGTTTAATAAATAGTTCCTTTATCTCCCTCTTGGGGCATGGATATAAAGGGCAACCTAGTTCAGACTTTCATATTCTGCAGCTTCGTAAACCTAGAGATAACCTCACACTCAAGTGATGATTCTGAGTTATGCTTGCCTGACAATGAAGTGGAGATGGAACAAGGTACGTGAAAGAGTGATGCTTACAACTTTGATTCTTGGGCAATGGGCATGCAGTAATAAGGATGCCCATCTTGGGAAATAATCAGAGTAAACAAAAGTATCTATAACCATGTGGTTTCCAAGAGGATAACATTTTTAAGACCAAGTGCTATTTTAGCATGAGCTTAAGGGTGTATGTTTACAGTAGAGAAATTTGAGATGTCTGTGTTATCTGAGTATAAATAGAACATTTGAACTCCTTGGAAGAAAGCTTAGGTATTTACCGAAATGAACATTATTCTCTCTGCTGCTGTCGACCAATAAACTGCTTTCCAAATGTGATTTTAATTGCATCAGCCCTTAAGATGGTGGCTTGATATGACCTTATTAACTATGTGCCCTTCAGAGATGACAGATCCCATCACCAACATGACATAGTGTCCCTCTATACATCTAAGTCCACGAAGCCATTAGGCACTTGGTTTTTAGACTAACATTATCAACACCAAATTAATCTCTCTGGTTGTTACAAAAGCCATGCTCACTCCTTTTTTGGGTTTATAATTAATGTCTAACCGAAAGACTTTGCCAAGAACTCCATCCCTCTATGCTACTCTCACATCTTCTTTATGTAAAATCATTCATATCCCTATGCATTCATGAAATTATGCCCAAATTCTACTCTCCATCCAGTTGGGTTAACTGCTAACATAAGGTCAACAACCTTAAGTATTCTTGACTTGGTGTTTCTTGAAAATTGCAAAGAAAGTCCAGAGCATTAACCAGCAGTAAAGATTGACTAGGTTGAAGTAAAACCCTTCCTCAAGGAATGCAAAGTGTTAGGAGATGCTTTAAAGTAATTTGAAGACCATTTTCCATTTGCATCATTAGTTGAGTATAGCAGCTATTTTTATATCAACATGACTCCACTTTTGAAATTTGTAAAATTAGTGCAAGATAGACAAAGGCACAAAAGAAAATGTTTTTCTTATCGTATTAGGGTTCTCTAGACAGACAGAACTAATGGAATATATATACATACAAATGATATATGTATATATGAAATACATATACGAGTTTATTAAGTATTAACTCACATGATCACAAGGTCCCACATAGGCCGTCTGCAGGCTGAGAAGCAAGGAGAACCAGTCTGAGTTCCAAAACTGAAGAACTTGGAGTCTGATGTTCAAGGGCAGGAAGCACCCAGCATGGGAGAAAGATGTAGGCTGGGAGGCTAGGCCAGTCTCTCTTTTCACATTTTTCTGCCTGCTTATGTTCTAGCCACACTGGCAGTTGATTAGATAGTGCTCACCCAGATTAAAGGTGGGTCTGCCTTTCCCAGCCCATTGACTCAAATGTTAATCTCCTTTGGCAACACCCTCACAGACACACCCAGGAGCAATACTTTGCATCCTTCAATCCAATCAAGTTGACACTCAGTATTAACCATCACACTTATCATCCACACTTTTTAAAAATGCAATAAGACATTATTGAGTTCTAACAAATAAAAAGGTAGTTATGCCAGGTACCTGCTCTTAAGGAGTTTATTGTCATTTAGAGGCCAGTGGTTTTAGAGACAGCAAATGGCCAATGATTGCCTTCAGAGGACAGTTTTCTTGTAAGAGATGAATACTGTAGTCAGATAATGCAAGTTAACATTTATCATACAGTTCTAAGTGTGTTGCATGTAGCATCAAATTTAATATTTACTATAACCCTATGAAGTAGGATATTGTTTTTATATCCATTTTGTAAATAAGGAAATTGAGGTATAGTCACGTTAGGCCTAAGTCACACAGGTAGCAAGTAGTTCAGTCAAGATCTAGAATAATTCAGGCCATCCTGCTCTAAAATCTGCATCTCAGTTTCTGCATTGTTCCAGCATTGTGATGTCCATGTGGAAAAACTGTATGGCATAGTAACAAAGGGTGCGTGACAAGAGAGAGCTTTCTATTTTATGCCCTAGCCTGTGTGTGCACAGCAAATTTGATAACTGGGCGCCTTCTTGACTAGTCAGATAATGGTAAAAAGACCTTTAAATTACATTCAGGTATCTCTTTCATGATTCGTATTGGAAGAGGGTTGCCTTTCAATCTAGCAAATGTTTGTTGCATGCTTTAAACTTCTAATGTTTTAAGAAGAATACCAAGTCAGGAACATTTAGGATTGCTGACTCTGTAATAGCAAATAACTGGATGGACAGCATAATTTGGACTCTAGTGGTATATATTCAGCTGCTCTAGGACTAAATTTGTTCCCCCTGTAAAAGGAAAATAATAATAATATCTAACTTACAGGGTCTGTGTGAGAATTAAATAAGATATGGAAAGTGAACTGCTTAAATATATGCCTGGCACATAAAAAATACCCTATGATGACAACAAAGATGATGATGGTGGTGGTGGTGGTGGTGGTGACAATTATGATAATGATTAAAAAAAATCTTTGCTGATGACATGCTCAATTTTAGGACCTTCAATTTTAGGGCCCCTGGCTGAGATGTTCTATATTTTATACTTATGAATATAATATTGGTAATTAGAAATATTCATATACCAATGAACTCTTCTAGGGTCCATTACTAGCTTTTATATGCATTATCTTAGCCATCTCTGTAAGACCTTATAAGAACATTTGAAAGACAAATTTTATCAATTGCCCTATAACCAGGGTTGACTTAAAGTTGGGTGAGAGGATTTTTGCTTTGGTGAAAGTTTCCCCACCCTCCACTTCCTGCATTGCTCAAGCATTTGAATTTGAAGAACATGATTCTGAACAATCCTATGAACATATTAGAGCATCCTGGAGATGAAAGAAATCATGTAATAGTTGCCTATAAATGGAACAACCCACCTAATTCATTATGCATACTAAATATGCATCTACTTCCAATATAGAGTCTAATGTAACCAGACACAATGAATTCCAATAAATAATTCTTTTGGCATTCTTACCAAAATTAATTTTGAATTGTGTTCACCAGGCATATATGTTATTTGTAATTAATGATGAGATATCAAGTAAGTTTTCTTCAGATTCTAGAATTTCATTCATCATCATAGAAAGTTTACTCTCAGATTTTAAAACACCAATTAGGATTTAAAGCACATTTTTGAAAAATCTGGAATGTGTAATTAAACCAAGTGGTTAGCCCTACTTGCTTTTGTGTGTATATATAAACATTTTAATTGTATTCAATTCTATAAAATAGAAACATTGTTTTCTTTTCTTTCAACTTTCTAAAGCAGTATTTACAGTGCAGTCTTAGATGTTAAAGTGGGCTAAAATATGGACTTATAAATATGACTAAACTTCCTTGAATCAGAAGAAAATTTCACCACCGAGAGGGAGTGTGTATGCACATACATGTGTGTTTTGTTTGTATTACCATACATTGTAATCACTCTTCAGGATCTGAAGTAATAAGAGTATTTTTATGGATCTTATGGAACTCATTTACAATCACATAGTGAAGGAAAACTCCAGATAAACATATAATTGGCTTATTAGAATATCCAGTTTAGATAAGTAATACAACTCTAATTTTAGTAATAAAGATTGGGTGATTTTCTATCTTCCATTCATTCTTTCTGGACAGGCCTCAGTTTCCCTGCCAGTAAACATCCATTGTTAAAATGTCGAAGAGCTCAAGAGAATGGGCAGCTGGATTTTCACTCTAAATTGCTAGCTTTCCTGCTTTGCCAGCTGCCAGTCCCAAGTGATCATCCCTATCCCATAACTCGCTATTGACCTCAATGAGATACCATCAGATGCAGGCCTAATACTGACTTACTTCTGGCTTTGGGATATGCAATGAATACCAAAGGCTTAGTGAGGCTGAGAGAGGCCACCCAGGCATTAATTAGACCAGTAGATGAAATGTGGAATCCAGTAACATAGATCTGAATCAAAGTGAGGACTTCAGTAAAATTTCAGGATACAAAATCAATGTACAGAAATCAGTAGCATTTCTACACACCAACAACATTCAAGCTGAGAGACAAATCAAGAATGCAGTCCCATTTATAATAGCCACAAATAATGAAATACCTAGGAATATATCTAACCAAGGTGGTGAAACATCCCTAAAAAGAGAACTACAAAGCACTGCTAAATGAAACCATAGATGAGACAAATGGAAAAACATTCAATGCTCATGGATTGAAAGAATCAATATCGTTAAAATGGCCACACTGCCCAAAGCAATCTACAGATTGAAGACATTACTATCAAACTACCAATGTCATTTTTCACAGAATTAGAAAAAAACGACTCTAAAATTCATATGGAGCCAGCCAACCAACCAACCAAACAAAAAGCCCGAATAGCTAAAGTAATCCTAAGCAAAAAGAGCAAACCTGGAGATACCACGTTACCCTACTTCAAACTATATTATAAGGCTATAGTAACCAAGACAACATGATACTGGTACAAAAACAGACACATAGACCAATGGAACAGTATAGAGAACACAGAAATAAAGCTCCACACCTACAGCCATCTGATCTTCAAAAAGTCGACAAAAACAAACAATGGAGAAAGGACTCCCTATTCAATAAATGGTGCTGGGGATAGCTGGCTCGCTATATGCAGAAGGATGAAACAGGACCCCTACTTTCACCAGATATAAAAAATCAACATGGATGAAAGACTTAAATGTGAGATCTCAAATTATAATAATCCTAGAAGAAAACATAGGAAACATCATTCTGGACATCTGCCTTGGGAAAGAATTTATGAGTAAGTCCTCAAAAGCAATTGCAACAAAACCAAAAATTGACAAGTGTGACCTAATTAAACTCAAGAGCTTCTGCACAGCAAAAGAAACTATCAACAGAGTAAACAAACAACCTACGGAATTGGAGGAAATATTTGCAAACTATGCATCTGACAAAGGTCTAATATTCAGAATCTGTAAGGAGCTTAAACAACTGAATAAACAAAAAACAAATAACCCCATTAAAAATGGGCAAAGATATGATCAGACACTTCTCAAAACAAGACATATACACAGACAAACATGAAATAATGCTCAACATCACTGATCATCAGAGAAATGTAAATCAAAGCCACAATGAAATATCATCTTACAACAGTCAGAGTGGCTATTATTAAAAAATCAAAAAACAGATATTGGTGAGGGTACAGAGAAAAGGGAACACATACACTGTTGATGGGAACGTAAATTAGTTCAGCCACTGTAGTAAGCAGTTTGGAGATTGCTCAAAGAACTTAAAACAGAACTACCGTTTGACTCAGTAATCCCATTACTGTGTATATATCCAAAAGAAAATAAATCTTTCTACCAAAACAACATGTGTACTCACATGTTCATCACAGCATTATTCACAACAGCAAAGATACGGAATCAACCTAGGTTCCCATCAATAGTGGACTGGATAAAGAGAATGTGATACCTATACACCATGGAATACTATGCAGCCATAAAAAAGACTGAAATTGCATCCTTTGTGCAACATAGATGCAGCTAGAGGCCATTATCCTGAGAACACAGGAATAGAAAACCAAATACCACGTTTTCACTTAAAAGTGGGAAGTAAACATTGGGTACTCATGGACATAAAGATGGCAACAATAGAAATTGGGACTACTTGGAGAGAAGGGGGAGTCAGGGTTGAAAAACTAACCATTGGATGCTATCCTCAGTACCTGGATGACGGGATTATCTGTACCCCCAATCTCAGCATCATGCAACATACCCAGGTAAGAAACCTGCATTTGTACCCACTGAATCTAAAATAAAAGTTGATAAAAAGAAAATAAAGCCAAAAGATCCATTGAAAACTAGTCTGGAAACAAACCAAAAATAAAAACCATTCTGGTTCTGCAATGTTAAATCTGACTCAATTAAAGAAGGTTTTACCGATGGTCCCCAGTAATGCTGTGAAAACAGAGCAAACTATCTCTGATATTCAGCACTCAGAATATTTTCTTCTAATAGATCTCTGGAGGATAAATTAAAGAATGAATGTGAATGTTTCAAAGCACAGTTCAGTGTTACATTCTCCACTTGCCTTTTTTTTTTTCTCTGCATGCCTACTTCTGTCTTCTCTCATTCCGGCATTCTTTGTGTGTCTTTCTCTCTCCTTCCCTCCCTCTCCTGATATTTTCTCCTTCATGCATGTGACAGAAAATATGGCCATATCTTGTTGTGACTCCTAAGTTAACATCACCTCCATTCTAAGGACCAACCCAAATGCCAAATGGAGTCAAATTTTAACAGAACCAATTCCAAATAATGTATTCATGTGTGCCCACCTTCTCACAAAATATTGGGGCCATCTTAAAGTAAAAATGCATAGATATGTAAACACAGGCTAGTTTAAGGGAATTGAAATTGTGGTGAGGAATCATATAAAGAAAGTGAGGCTATAACAGGAAGAAAATAATGAAATGATATGAAATTATCACCATAGTGACAAATAAATTTAGCTGGGAGCTTCCTGGCAAACAGGATAATTAAGGAAACATTATAGATTATAAAACTATCACCAACAGAAGAAATCATCATTTTTTAAGAACCAGGGCTTATTATAATACTTTGCATATAGCAGGTTCTCAATTTAAACACTTGTCAGATGACTAGAAGAAGGTAAACATTTTGGTAGATAAAAATGTAACATTGTATGCACACAGAAACACACCCACACAAATAGGATATAAGGCTGTATAAGACTTTTCATCTAGCTAGCAATACAATGAATTGGACTACTTCAACCATATCTCTATACAAAATCTTGTTTTGAGGATTCTGATACAAGTTGAAAGATAGCTTGTACAGACAGTAGTTCAGAGAAGACATTCTTCTACTTACGACTCCTTTGGCTGCACACAACAGAAATGGACTCAAGTGGATCCCAATTAGTATAAGAAAAAAGCGACCATTTATTATTAAGATATAATAACATGGATCCCAAAGGCCTTGGGAATGGATTAGAGTAAGTGCTTAAGACACCATCTGAACTGTCTCCATTTTTTCATCTCTGCATCCCTCTATAAGTCTTCTTGATTTCCTTCTCTTTCTTTGTATCTAAGTTTCTGTATCTCTCTTCTGGGTTTCTCTGCTCTCCAATCCACATAGTGAAAAACAGTATCATATCACCACTCATGGATATATATATATTTTCTCTTTTTAAGCTAGCAGTCCTGGTAGAAATTGGAATTGCAATTCCAATTCCAAATTTTCAAGGAAGTTCCTCTTTTTTGTCCAGTTTAGGTCACAACTTCAAGTCTGGCTGATCAGCTGTGCATGGGAAGCCTAGGCCACATCACAGAAAATCGTTGCCAGGAGGATGCCTCTTACTATTGGGGTGGGAGTGGGGTGATGTGCCAAAGAAGGATTCTACTGCATCCAAGATAACATTATCTGAATGCATTACTTTCGGGAGATCTAAGACTTAACACAAGCTACTTTAAATGGAAGCCACTACACTGTGTGGTGTTTGGGCAGTTAGTGATAATAAATATAGCCAGTGAGTTCTGGTTAGAGTTCAGCTCCTACTCAAGTCCCATAAGCCCAAAAGGACACAAGTTGCACCGTTACACAAGGCAACTGGAGGTGCAAAGTATCCCAGGCCAGACTAAACTATAGCAGCTGAAAGGTAACCAACAATATATCTCTGCTGGGGAGAGTGGTTAGATTTTTATTATCTGACCATATATGAGATCCTAGAATTATTGGTGGATAACCTAGACTGTCTCTTGCAAGTATAATCCTTCTTGACCATGATTTTGGCCAAAGCTACATCTCAATTCAAAAATAAGCTCTCTGGTGAGTATCGGACATGTATATATTTTATGTTGTTGAACTAAATGTCTCATATGATTTTGCTTCCAGATGACTATGTGGAAAGGTTAAATAAACTTTTTTCTTTTTAATAAAGAACCTTGGGAAATTTTAAAGGAAGTTATTAGTATCAACTGCTATGACCACTGCAGTACCATTCTGGCCCTAGGAATCTTCTGGCCACAAGTGTGGGAGAGAAAGAGAAAATAAATGATTATATAAGATTTTCAAATTATCTTTCCCTGGGAAGCACTCAAGGCGTTAATCAGCTTACCATGACCAAGAGAGGATGATTGCCTACCATTCCTCCAGAATGCAGGGTCCTCAGTATAGGGATGAGTCCCCTATCCCTTGCATTAAAACAGTTAAAGCTGGTTTGTTCTAAACTAGAGTAATAGAGAATTTTCAGGGAGGTCTAGACATAACTCAGTGTCTTCCTTCCTCTTTCTTCACAGCCAAGACAAACTATGAGGTTCTTGTAAAAGCAATTGCAGTTTTTCCCGTTACTTTCAATGGCAAAAACAGCAATTTCTTTTGCACGAACCTAATAGAATGGCTAGAACAAAAGCCACATTTATGCATTGGGAGGAAAGAAGCCAATATAACAACTTGCTACGTTGTCCAATTCTCACTACACATAAAATTTCCAAGAATGTTCTACTCTCTGCTTGTAGTAAATTTCCAAATAGCATAAGGCACAATACACATTTCTTTTCCCCAGGCCAGTAGAGTCAGGTTGAGACCTAGCAGACCTTTGGAGGAAGAAATGATTAATAGTATCAGAATGACATCTGTGAGGGACTGATCTGCTGTCTGAGATGACAATAATCTAACTTTACAGAACAAACAGCACCGCTAGGCTGGGACTTGAGCTACCTTACCACATTCTGAAGAAACGGAGGAACCAAAAGAGCAGCTTTAGCATAGTCAGGAAACATGCCAGTAAGACAATGGTTGGAGTACACTTGGCAGGCTTTAGGGAAACACCAGCTGAATCCAATATGTTCATTACACAATGCAAGCTAAGTCTGAGTGAGTAGAAAGCCAGCTGAAGCAAATGTAGCTGAAAGGCAGTAATAAAACAATCAGGAAATGGAGTAAATATGGTTAGAAATCAGCAATAAAAATCAGTCTGGAAACTTGAGAATTTCCTTAGGTTTGTGGATCAAATAAAGGAGACTGAAATATACAGAGCAGTGGGACTGTAAGCGTGGTCCTTGGAGAAGCAGCATCAGTCCAGGAACTTGTTGGAAATGCAAATTTTTGGCCTTATCCCAGTGTAACTGAATCAGAAACTCTAGGGGCGGGTCTCAGAAACTTGTGCTTTAACAAGTGTGCCAGGTGATTCTGAAAGCCACTGGTACAGGGGACTGGATATTAAGAGGCATTTATTACGCATTAGGGGAAAGGCATTATATATATTAGCCATGTATCCATAGAAGAAACAAAAATGTTTAAATAAATGTACTATAAGCATATTCCCCAAAGCTGTGTTTTTCAAAATCCAGGTTATGACACATTGGATTATGAAATATACCTGAACCACTTATCAGCATTTAAAAAATTAATTAGAAAATATCTATTATACTTAGGGTATTTTCTCCTCAAAATCATTTTTAAGTCATCTGTCTTTACATATATGTGTGTGTGTGTGTGTCTGTGTGCGTGATTGAAATGTAAAAATTATTTATTACCTTGGATAGAGGTAGGAAAGTTGCAAAAGCCACTTCTTTAAGGCAGTGGTTCTTAAACTTTAATGTAAATAAGAAGAACATGGGTATGTGAAAGATAAATTTCTAGGCCCCAAGCAGAGATTTTGGTACACTAGACCTGAGGTGGGACCTCATTTTCACAATCTGCATTTTAACAACACTCCAGGTGATCCTGATTCAGGTGGTTTGTAGATCTATATGTTTCTAGGGTCAAGCCAGTAACTGATGTTAATAACAAAAATTTAACAAGTTAGATTAAATATTTTTGAGCCCAAATTCTATGCTATGCTAAAGGTTGTGGAGTTTATAGTGTTGAATTAGACATGCATCTTTCCTCAAGGAACATTAAAAATGTAAAGAAGCAGTCTTTATTGTTGCGCCTGCTTGCTTTAGCAAGTCTGCAAAAAGGACAAAGGATAAAATATCCTTGGGGATTTTATCTGCTGCTTACAATGTATTTAGTAAAAGAAAACATATATTGGTGCAATCAGTCTCTGCTGGCACATATGTTGCCTCTGTGAGTGGTAGAAAGAGGTATCCACTTTGGGCTAATGAATTATGAAAATACACACATAATGGGTGAGCCATCTAGAAAAAGGTGTCCACTCCTCCACACTGATGCAGCTTCAGACCAGTGCCATGATTTTGTGTGGTAGATTGCAACAAGGGCTACAAATATTTGTTTCCTATTCATAGTCTTTGGTACTGCCTTCCCACACTAATTCTGGACTGTCCTTCAGATTTGATTTGGCCAGTAGGACCTTCACAAACATAATGTAAGCAGAAACTTGAAAAATACTTATACATTGGGGCTTTCCCTCTTGTTTCTCTCAATAACCCTTGTTACTGTGCAAGTTAGCCAGATGGATGATGAGAAACTATAAGGGGAGAGGCCCCAGTCATCCCAGCCATCCCAGCCATCCCAGCCATCCCAGCCATCCCAGCCATCCCAGCCATCCCAGCCATCCCAGCCATCCCAGCCATCCCAGCTGAAGCCATCCTAAACCAGCCAGCTTCAGCCCACCCACCAGCTGACTGTAGATATTAAAGTAAGCCAGCCAAGGTCAGCTAAGCCCACCAAGCCCAGAAGAATCACCCATCTGAGCCCAACCCAGATTTCCAATCTATAAAAATCATGAGAAAAAGCAATGGTCATTTCTTGAAGACACTACATTTTGAGGTGTTTGAGTAGCTAGTGATAAGATACAGTCAGTGAGTTCTGGTTAGAGTTCAGCCCCTACTCAAACCCCCTAAGCCCAAAAGGACACAAGCTGCACCATTACACAAAGCAGCTGGAGGCGTAAAGTATTCCAAGCCATACTAAACTGTAGCAGCTGCAGGGTAACTAACAATAAATCTCTGCTGGGTAGAGTGGTTGGATTTTGATTATCTGACCATACATGAGAGATTGAAATAATCTGTGAAGAGCCCGGTGAGTTGGGAAATTTGATGGTCTAATGATAAGATCAGACCTAGTCAATATATAACGGATTGTACATCATGACAAAAATTCCAGATTGGCTGTTGTAATCAAGGTAGTTGTACACACACAGCCACTTAGGCCTAAGGATTATTATGGGCTATTTTTATTAAGCAAAGCATGTTAAGACTAGAATATCCTACTGTATTGCTTCAATCTCATTATCAATCTGGATCCCTGTAAAAAACGACGCTGAAAATGTGTTCTTATGTAATAGAACAGCAGGAAACAACCAGATAAGTTCACGTCAATTTCCCCCCACTTTCCACTTCTCACCATACCATCCAATGTGAAGGGGAAAATCTCTATTTTCTTCAATTTGGAAAGATTTTATTTTTCCTTTTAAAATCTGAAACAGTTTCCTTTCATATAAACAAATACCTGCAATTGATCACAGAAAAAGGAAGATCATATCCCTTCATAGTCCACTGTGTACAGAAATGAAGCCTGAGCAGGCTTGTTTATTATTCTAAAGTGGGAGCCAACAAATATTGAATGAAAGATGAGATGGGTGCATAGAAGATGAAAAGACACATGGATGCCCAGAGCAGAATGGCAGCATTTTACACACTTATAGGGGAAAGGAGGAAACCTGGAGTAACACAGTGAGCAATCAGCAATGCTGATGTCCTCTATCAGGATTCATGGACAGGCCATAAATAGCATGCAAAACCACCAGAATTAAGTGCAATAGTTCATGTGCATGAATATATGTACTTTTATCTGTGGAGAAGGTTTGATTGTTTTCATCAGATTCCTAAAAGGATCTTTGTCCTCACCACCTTCTCCCAAAACCTAAGAACCACTACACTAATGGAATCTAAATTTATAGGCACCTCAATTTGTTAGAGGGTGACTTGGTTTTCTTTTTAAACCACATCCTGAATGTCCTTTACACACAAGTACTTTGCACTACATATGTAATATGAATTTTTTCTTTCTCTTGATTTTATAATGAGGTCAAACATGTGTTCCCATGGGGAAGGAAAAAAAGTCTTCCAATTGTTAATAAACAAGAGTCAAACTAGTACACGCAACTTTCCCCCCAATCTCCTCTCTAATTTTCTTACAGTCTCCTTTCTTATTTCTTCATGGGTCCTTTCATGTCTTAGAACATTTTTTGTCTGATTCTAAGACACATCTGAAGCTCCTTACCTCGCTCCACTGTCCAAAGGAATTTCTCTGGGTCATGAGCATCCCTTAGGATCCCCCAGTTCACTTCACTTCAGCTGCCAGAACTCTACTCTCTCTCTTCTTGTATAGGAGTATTCACCAGAGCTGAGATACTTATATTAGCATTCCCACCAACATTCCCTAACACACACAGAATGCCCCTGGTCTGAAGGTTCTAACGTTTGAGATTTGATGGTACAGACAATGAATCAGTTCCCTTCCTCATCTGAATCTCTGTGAGTTCAGAACAATGCCTACTTATTTGACCAAACATACCTAGCAACCCTTCATTAAAAAGATGCGACAGGAGCTGGAAGCCATTATTCTCAGCAAACTAACACAGGAACAGAAAACCAAATACCTCCTGTTCTCGCGTATTAGTGGGAGCTGAATGATGAGAACACATGAACACGATGGGGGTTGGGGAACAACACACACTGGGGCCTAAAAGAGGTTCAGGAAGGAGGTGGGAGGAGTGAGAGCATCAGGAAGAATAGCTAAGGGATCCTGGGCTTAATACCTAGACAATGGGATGATATGTGCAGCCAACCACCATGGCACACATTTACCTATGTAACAAACCTACACATGCTGCATATGTACCTTTGAACTTAAAAGTTGGAAAAAAAAAGAGATGCCATATGAGATTGTCAAAGGTTTCTCCATACTGCTATCCCCAGTGCTCTTGAAAAGAATCTGGAAGCAGGGAATGATGAAAGTCTTTGTGCATGTCTGTCAGCTACACTGGCCAGCCAGGTATCCATAGCTCAGGAGAGACAGTGTTCAGCCATCAGCAAACTTGATTACAGAGGCCACAACTGATTTAAAAGCCTAGGCAACCTATTTGAACAGTGAAGTTGATCTGGTCACCTATTCTGGGAAAAAATTTACGTTAGGTGAGGCAGGACCTGTCCACACTTAAGTGGGGTAGATTGAGGAGGGATGTATTCGTTGGCTTCTATTGCTTCTCACTTTAAAAGCAGCAAAACCACATCACAAAAAAATTGGAACATGAGGTAAAGAAGCAAAAAAGAACCCCAACCTCCACTCCCAGTCCACCATTCTCACACAACCAAAATTAAGATGTAGCTCTGTTTTAATCACACTGTGAAATCTACTCTTTCTTGGTATAATGTATAAAACCCAGTTACCTCAACCCTTGTTGGTTCTCAGGTTGTCCGATTCTGGGGATTTCTATAGTGGTTAATGATTCTCACACAGAATTTCAAATTAGCTGAAAATATGTGAAAAACCATCTTCCAGTGAATCAAATTAGACTATGGGACAAAATTGGGCTATCCCACTTATTCGCTGTGCAAATTGGACCATCTATATGTATCAGTTTTTCCTCTCTAAAATGATAATAGTAATGATCACTAGCTACATGCATTGGTGAAGAGTTAAATAAGACAATCTTTTAAAACACATAGCAGAGTACCTGCTCAATAAGTACTGGCTATTAGTAGTAATAGCCTACCACAGCATTTGCTGGTTTATGTTTCCCATATACTGTTTACATCCCGTAAACTGGGAGCATAGATCCCTTGAGTCAAAGAGAAAAAAAGAGGACTATAATCACTTCATGACCTGTAGTTGTCACAGCTAGTTCTTAAATGAGAATGGAGCTCCTCTGTTGTGCTCTCAGTCTTATGTTTGTTTAAGATATCAGTTGAAGGTGCCCTTGTGAGCCTACTCAGCACTGTTATGGTTTTCTATCACCATCAATCAGGGAAACACATGTTAATTAACTGCTTTACTGTTTTGCACATGATTTATTAGGTCTCTTCTCATTAATGTGTTTAATCAAAAAAAGTAATTAAGTGGGGAATAGTGGCAGCAACACATACTTGGCATCAATTATTAAAAATAAAAGTTCTTAGGATGAGAGCCTGATCATTTGTCCTTAAGCCATTTGGGGGGGTCTCAGCTGATGGCAAACCATCTGAACTATTACTACCACTAATTCTTATATTTGCTGGGGCTTTCTTTTGAAGAACACTAAAGGGAAATATAATTTGATATTTACAATCAAAATACCAGCAGCTGGCAAAGGAAGACTGGAATTGCACAATCTTCTCTTTATCCCTTAATCATAGAAAGTCAATAAAACGCCTCTGCAGTCAAAAACCTGTGATTTGTCCTTTAAATATCAGTGATAACACTTTATAAGGTAGGCTTCTCAGAAAATAATGACTGCACCATTTGAAGGGGAAACAACTCATTTTAAAAGAAAAAAGAAACATTATTTTTTCCTTGAATAACTTGTTTTTCTAATGGAAGAGTTCATAACAATTTGAAAAGCAATGCCAGAGGTTATTTTGTGTATCCCTCATGTTTCTAGGCAGGGTTATAAACAAAATCTCCTAGAATTTGTTCTAGCCTTTTCAATAAAAGCACCCAACATAAAGACTATTATTCAGATATTAGAATTAATTCTGCTATTGTGATGAATCTATAAAATGAAGGTTTTCCTCTCTCTCCTTAGAGATATTAAGATGCTATTGGTTTTCAATATCTGAAAGCCAATGAGTTTTAATTCCTAGAGTCAAATTAAAGATATATAATCATCATAAATTATGCTTGGATCAAGGTAAGGAATAAATATACAAATAAATTGGATGTCACTGTCAGGGAATATTCAGGTATAATAAATATTCAGCCTTAGAATATTGTACTAAGAATTATGTATCTGACCATTACTATGAAGCTAATTTTTCTATCTTGCATCTATTACTATTTCATTTTGATGATGTTTTATCAATATTCCACCTTGTATTAGAAAACTTTTGTATTTGAAAGTTCTCGTAAGAAAACGGGCCAAATGTGAAAGTGACATTGCCATATACAAAGTAGAACATGAAACCTGCTAAATGGAAGATAAAAATTTGACTTAAGGATGAAAATGAAAAAGTTAATTCAGAAAATACTTCAATTTTTGGAAAAATCTCTATTAAAATATTAAAAGTTGTGACTCTCTTAATCATTGCAAATTTTTGTGCTTATCTGTGTTCTTCAAATCAAATTCTACATAAGGTGCATTGACTTTGAAATTACATCAAAACGTTGCTTTTTAAAGCTGATTTCATTGAGTTAAAAAAGCAACAAACTAAAAATAATATTAGCTTTGTTTTTTTTTAAATTATTATTATATTTTAAGTTTTAGGGTACATGTGTACAATGTGCAGGTTAGTTACATATGTATACACGTGCCATGCTGGTGTGCTGCACCCATTAACTCGTCATTTAGCATTAGGTATATCTCCTAAAGCTATCCCTCCCCCCTCCCCCCACCCCACAACAGTCCCCAGAGTGTGATGTTCCCCTTCCTGTGTCCATGTATTCTCATTGTTCAATTCCCACTTATGAGTGAGAATATGCAGTGTTTGGTTTTTTGTTCTTGCGATAGTTTACTGAGAATGATGATTTCCAATTTCATCCATGTCCCTACAAAGGACATGAACTCATCCTTTTTTATGGCTGCATAGTATTCCATGGTGTATATGTGCCACATTTTCTTAATCCAGTCTATCATTGTTGGACATTTGGGTTGGTTCCAAGTCTTTGCTATTGTGAATAGTGCCACAATAAACATACGTGTGCATGTGTCTTTATTAGCAGCATGATTTATAGTCCTTCCTTACACCTTATACAAAAATTAATTCAAGATGGATTAAAGACTTAAATGTTAGACCTAAAACCATAAAAACCCTAGAAGAAAACCTAGGCATTACCAGTCAGGACATAGGTGTGGGCAAGGACTTCATGTCTAAAACACCAAAAGCAATGGCAACAAAAGCCAAAATTGACAAATGGGATCTAATTAAACTAAAGAGCTTCTGCACAGCAAAAGAAACTACCATCAGAGTGAACAGGCAACCTACAGAATGGGAGAAAATCTTCGCAACCTACTCATGTGACAAAGGGCTGATATCCAGAATCTACAATGAACTCAAACAAATTTATAAGAAAAAAACAAACAACCCCATCAAAAAGTGGGCGAAGGACATGAACAGACACTTCTCAAAAGAAGACATTTATGCAGCCAAAAAACACATGAAAAAATGCTCACCATCACTGGCCATCAGAGAAATGCAAATCAAAACCACAATGAGATACCATCTCACACCAGTTAGAATGGCCATCATTAAAAAGTCAGGAAACAACAGGTGCTGGAGAGGATGTGGAGAAATAGGAACACTTTTACACTGTTGGTGGGACTGTGAACTAGTTCAACCATTGTGGAAGTCAGTGTGGCGATTCCTCAGGGATCTAGCACTAGAAATACCATTTGACCCAGCCATCCCATTACTGGGTATATACCCAAAGGACAATATTAGTTTTTTAAGTTTTTTATGTAGGTAGGTTTCTATATATTCCTGATTTAACTTTGGTAGTATGATAACATTATGCTAAAACTGGAAGTAACTTTCAAAATCGTCTACATTTCCCAGTATAAGTTCCATAGAACATTAATCTTACGAGGTAGTCCTTGTAAACAAGCGTTCCACATCAAATAAGTTTGGGAAGCCCTGCTATCCACATTCAGAGGCTCCATCCAAAGGATCTAAGAAGCTTGCCACTAATAAAACCTGTTGAAGTCTATTTAACCCACTATCTGCCTACCTCATTTAACCATGGGCAACATTTTTCCACAAAACTCTTAACATCCCATCACACTGGAAAATGTTAATCTAGAGCAGTCCTCTAAAGAATGAAACTTACTCAGAGCTGTTGCTCAAGATCCAACAGCTAGATAATAGCAGCTTTGGCATTGAAATGCAAATATTCTAACTCCCTGCCTGGTGATCATTTTTATTATGCCCAAGTATTCAACATTTTTTACTCAAAGATGAAGAGATGCCAATTTTTCCTTTTACATTCATCCAGTAGTCCTTTCCTCACCTCAAGGAAACAGATCAGGGAAGATTTCTCTTGATACCTCATTCTAATATTCAAGTCAACCTAACATTGATGCACCCTCACGCCTTAGAACATTTGGATGACTATGAACAGACCTGAATAGTCCATCTATTGACCCACTTAAGAAGCAAAATTCTGCCTCACCCTTTGCTATTCCCATTTTGGCTAATATGAAATGCTCCTCTCTGCAATAAACTTGAAGTAAAGGATTTTTTTTTTTTCGGTCCTTACACACTAATGCCTCTTGAAGGCCATTTATATCACACTTCAGGAGGTTTTTTTCCTCATTACCTGGGGAACAATGAGAGAGTGAAAAAATCACTACTCATCTGGGAACTGGAATGGAAGCTATGTTTAGAACTTTTACAGCTATTCCCACTAGTTTTATTCTCTTGTACAAAGTTTAAATGTTCGGACATGCAGGCCTATAACATCACCTTACCTTTAACTTGGAATGTTTTTCCTGGTGGTAATAAAGTATTTGTTGTTTACCACCACTTAGATGTTGTCTGCAAATCCAGACCTTCACATATTCCCTTTATTGTACTGTTACTTTCTTTTTCCTACTTATTTTCTCTCCCTTTTAAAATATTCCAAGACATTTAAAGAATAGTTAGCATTTTGGTATGACAATACAGCCTTCCTCCTCATGTTGAGGTCTGTGGACGTTACTTTGGGAGTGGTGTAGAAATGCAGAACCTCATAGTACTACTCAGGTCCCACATAGTACTACTCAGGCTGCATTTTAACACGATCCCTGTGGGATTTGTGTGCACTTTCAAGTTAGGGAAACATTGACCTGGGATATGTTACAAAGGCATTTATTTGCTAACCCCTTCTGAACACAAACATCTTTTTTTTGTTCTAAAATATACACCAAAGCTAATATATTAGATATGTGAGCTTTTAAATATTGTGAAATAGAAACAAACATGAAGACTTTCTGAAATGTTTCAAAGGGAACATCAAAATATAGCACATATAACTTAGGAAGTCAATTTGACTCAGATATCAAATAAGCTAACAGGCAGCCTTCTTTCCTTCTAGGAACTGACAACTGAAGCTGGGCAGCACAGGTCAGAATCAACCAGAGCTATTGAGGGGTGTGGATGGAATAAATGCAACCCTTTCATTTCCCCATGTGGAACCATCCTGGATGAGGCATTAGCATGCACAGCAGAGTGTAATCAGTCCATGGCTTTAGTCTATCCAGGCATTTCTACGTTGTAATTTCCTTGCAGCTATCTTACTGGGACTAATGGGAAGAGGGGAATCAAGTATTTAATGCTCCCTTGATGTAAACAGGAAAAAAGTGTGATTTTCCTCAGGATACTAAAAGGTGATATGTGTGACTCTGTACTAATCTTATTTGATAAGGCCATTATTGATTTCTTTTTCCATGCATTTAGAAGTGCTGTATCTTAGCAGTAGCATTCTCTAAGGAGCTTTACACAAGCAGCTCATTACACCACAAAAAAAATCCCTGTGAGGTAAAGGGATCAATATTTATTATGCTCAATCTTAGAGCCAATGGAGACAATGCATGAAGAGTTAAACATGTTGAGTTAAATTTCAGACTGCTACCTCTAAGCTAAATACCCTATGTAGTGGTGTCTCCAGAGGCCAATTTATAGAATTAGGAAAAATGAACTTATTAGTTTTATTAGGTTTACTGTTAAGTAGTCCTAATCATCCTCTAGATTTACAACAGGGAGGTAGATGGATGCCAAGAATCCAGGGAGTTGTATCTTAGACAACAGATTTAGTTGTTCAAGAGTAAGGAACAACTAAATTTCCAAGCTGTTGGAAGGCATGCTGATTGTGCCATTATTACTTGCTAATTAATTGCTTACCTGCTCATTTGTGGTCAGTAGATATCAATGCATCCTCAAATCTGCCCTTAGTTGGGGATTCTGCCTTACTTAATCAAAGGTTACAATCCAGGATGAAACACCATAAATCAAAAGGAAAGCCAATATGAAGGAGCAATTAGGTGTAGGTTGTCTAGCATAGAATAAAATCTAGAATATAAAGTCTGGAATAAAACAATAAGCATTGATAAATTTCTCAAGAACAAGTACGTAAGCCCATTTTTATCTGAAACCTATGGGTATACATCCAACTAGAAGTGTTCATGGGTTGGTTAGGGCTAAACACAATTATAATAAGTTAAAATGGAGAATGTGACACCTCTCCCATACAGCGTATTTGTACTTTAGCTGGGGTCTCCAAAGTATTAACCTAAAGAAGTGGTAGTATTCCTACTTATTGTGATCAAGACAAGATAAAGAATTTGGGGCAAAAAAGCTTTTGGTTTTCTTCAATGCATGCTATCCAGGTAACTGCCAATTCTAACTTGTTCAATCCTTGTTTAGAGCAAGGATTTCTGAAAGTAGAGGACACTTGAGAAACTGAGACCCAATTTTTCTCACACCTAGGACAGAATATCAGTCTCTCTAAATCCAGATATTTTTTGATACAATAGCTGATAGAAAGAAGATAAGCATTTTCAAATTATGCTTTGCCCAAGGCATTAAGAAACATGCAAGAGAATAATACAATTATGTGCCAATAGCTTCATTATAATACTGGAAGTCCTAACCAGAGCAATTAAGCAAGAGATATAAATAAAGGGCATCCAAATTGGGAAAGAAGAAGTCGAATTGTCTCTGTTTGCAGATGATATAATCTTACACGTAAAGAAAACCTAAAGACTCTACCCAAAAACTCTTAGAACTGATAAACAAATTCAGTAAAGTTGCAGGATACAAAATCAACATACAAAAATCAGCAGCATTGCTCTATGTGACCAATGAACTAGCTGAAAAAGAAATCAAGAAGCCAATCCCATTTACAATAGCTACAAAAATACCTCTATAAGGAAAACTACAAAACACCGATGAAAGAAATTGAAGAGGACACAAATAGACATTCATGCTCATGGATCAGAAGTAATATTGTTAAAATGACCATACTGCCCAAAGCAATCTACACATTCAATGTAATTCCTATTAATTCTTCATAATTAATGACATTCTTCACAGAAATAGAAAAACATCCTAAAACTTATATGGAACCACAAAAGACCTCAAATAGTCAAAGCAATTCTGGGAAAAAAGAACAAAACTGGGGGCATATGCTACCATATTTCCAAACATACTACAAAGCTATAGCAACCAAAAACAACATGGTGCTGTCATAAAAATAGACACATAGGCTGGGCGCGGTGGCTCACGCCTGTAATCTCAGCACTTTGGGAGGCCGAGGTGGGCAGATCACAAGGTCAGGAGATCGAGACCATCCTGGCTAACAAGTGAAACCCCATCTCTACTAAAAATACAAAAAATTAGCTGGGCGTGGTGGTGGGTGCTTGTAGTCCCAGCTACTTGGGAGGCTGAGGCAGGACAATGGCATGAACCTGGGAGGCGGAGGTTGCAGTGAGCCGAGATCGCACCACTGCACTCCAGCCTGGGTGACAGAGCGAGACTTCGTCTCGAAAATAAATAAATAAATAAATAAAAAATAGATACATAGACCCATGAAACAGAATAGAGAACCCTGAAATTCATCCATCTATCTACAGCCAACTCACTTTCAACAAAGGCACCAAGAATATTCATTGGGGAAAGGATAATCTCTTCAATAAATGGTGCTGGGAAAACTGGATATCCATATGCAGAAGAATAAAACTAGACCCCCACCTCTCACCTTATATAAAAATCAACTCCAAATGCAGTGAAGACTTAAATGTAAGACCCAAAACTATAAAACTCCTGTGAAAAACATAGAAGAGATGCTCCAGGATATTGGTCTGGGAAAACATATTGTGAATAAGACCTCAAAAGCACAGGCAACAAAATCAAAAATAAATAAATTGTATCAAACTAAAAAGCTGCTGCACATCAAAGAAAACAATCATCAGAGTGAAAGGAAAACCTACAGAATTGGAGAAAATATTTGCAAACTATCCATTTGCTGGGGAATTAATATCTATAATATACAAAGAACTCAAACATCTCAACAGCAAAACAATCTGATTAAAAGTGGGAAAATGGGTACAGTAGCCTCCAAGGTGGCAGATTAGGAACAGCTCTGGTCTACAGCTCCCAGTGAGATAGATGCAGAAGACGGGTGATTTCTGCATTTCCAACTGAGGTACGTGGTTCATCTCATTGGGACTGGTTGGACAGTGTGTGCAGCCCACGGAGGGTGAGCCGAAGCAGGGCAGGGCATTGCCTCACCGGGAAGCACAAGGGGTCAGGGGATTTCCCTCTCATAGTCAAGGGAAGCTGTGAGTAACTGTACCTGGAGGAGTGGTACACTCCTGCCCAACTACTGCACTTTTCGCATGGTCTTCACAACTGGCAGAACAGGAGATCCCCTCCTGTGCTTGTCTCGGCGGGTCCCACACCCACAGAGCCTTGCTCACTGCTAGTGCAGCAGTCTGAGATCGACCTGGGACACAGGAGCTTGGCAGGGAGAGGGGCATCCACCATTGCTGAGGCTTGAGTAGGCGGTTCTATGCTCACAGTGTAAACAAAGCTGCAGGGTAGCCCGAGATGGGTGGAGCCCACCACAGCTCAGCAAGGCCTACTGCCTCTCTAGATTCCACCTCTAGGGGCAGGGAATATCTGAACAAAAAGCAGCAGACAGCTTCTCCAGATTTAAACATCCCGGCCTGACAGCTCTGAAGAGAGCAGTGGTTCTCCCAGCATGGCATACGAGCTTTGATAACGAATAGACTACCTCCTCAAGTGGGTCCCTGACCCCGTGTAGCCTGACTGGGAGACACCCCCCAGTAGGTGCCGACAGACACCTCATACAGGCAGATGCCCCTTTGGGATGAAGTTTCCAGAGGAAGTATTGGGCAGCAACATTTGCTGTTCTGCAGCCTTCACTGGTGATACCTAGGCAAACAGGGACTGGAGTGGACCTCCAGCAAACTCCAACAGACCTGCAGCTGAGGGGCCTGTCTGCTAGAAGGAAAACTAACAAACAGAAAGGAATAGCATCAACATCAACAAAAAGGACATCCACACCAAAACCCCAATTGTAGGTCACCAACATCAAAGACCAAAGGTAGATAAAACCACAAAGATGGAGAGAAACCAGAGCAGAATGGCTGAAAATTCCAAAAACCAGAATGCCTCTTCTCCTCCAAAGGAACACAACTCCTTGCCAGCAAAGGAAAAAAACTGGACAGAGAATGACTTTGACAAGTTGACAGAAGTAGGCTTCAGAAAGTCGGTAATAAAAAACTTCTCTGAGCTAAAGGAGCATGTTCTAACCCATCACAAGGAAGCTAACAACCTTGAAAAAAGGTTAAATGAATGGCTAACTAGAACAGCGTAGAGAAGACCTTAAATGACCTGATGGAGCTGAAAACCACAGTATGAGAACTTCGTGAAGCATACACAAAGTTCAACAGCTGATTCAATCAAGTGGAAGAAAGGATATCAGTGACTGAAGATCAAATTAATGAAATAAAGTGAGAAGACAAGATTAGAGAAAAAAGAGTGAAAAGAAATGAACAAAGCCTCCAAGAAACATGGAACTATGTGAAAAGACCAAATCTACATTTGATTGGTGTACGTGAAAGTGACTGGGAGAATGGAACCAAGTTAGAAAACACTCTTCAGGATATTATCCAGGAGAACTTCCCCAACCTAGCAAGGCAGGCCAACATTCAAATTCAGGAAATACAGAGAACACCACAAAGATACTCCTCGAGAAGAGCAACCCCAAGACACTTGTCACATTCACCAAGGTTGAAATGAAGGAAAAAAAAATGTTAAGGGCAGCCAGAGAGAAAGGTCAGGTTACCCACAAAGGGAAGCCCATCAGACTAATAGCTGATCTCTCGGCAGAAACCCTACAAGCCAGAAGAGACTGAGGGCCAATGTTCAACATTCTTAAAGAAAAGAATTTTCAACCCAGAATTTCATATCCAGCCAAACTAAGCTTCATAAGCAAAGGAGAAATAAAATCCGTTACAGACAAGCAAATGCTAAGAGATTTTATCACCACCAGGCCTGCCTTACAAGAGCTCCTGAAGGAAGCACTAAACATGGAAAGGAACAAGAGTACCAGCCACTGCAAAAACATGCCACATTGTAAAGACCATCAACGCTATGAAGAAACTGCATCAATTAACAGGCAAAATAACCAGCTATCATCATAATGACAGGAACAAATTCACACATAACAATTTTAACCTTAAATGTAAATGGGCTAAATGCTCCAATTCAAAGACACAGACTGGCACAATGGATAAAGAGTCAAGACCCATCAGTGTGCTCTATTCAGGAGATCCATCTCACGTGCAAGGACACATATACGCTCAAAATAAAAGGATGGAGGAAGATCTACCAAGTAAATGGAAAGCACAAAAAAGCAGAGGTTGCAATTCCAGTCTCTGATAAAACAGACTTTAAACCAACAAAGATCAAAAGAGACAAAAAAGGCCATTACATAATGGTAAAGGGATCAATTCAACAAGAAGAGCTAACTATCCTAAATATATATGCACCCAATACAGGAGCACCCAGCTTCATAAAGCAAGTTCTTAGAGACCTACAAAGAGACTTAGACTCCCAAACAATGATAATGGGAGACTATAATACTCCACTATCAATATTAGACAGATCAACGAGACAGAAAATTAAGAGGATATCCAGGACGTGAACTCAGCTCTGGACCAGGGAGACCTAATAGACATCTACAGAACTCTCCACCTCAAATCAGCAGGATATACAGTCTTCTCAGCACCACATCACACTTATTCTAAAATTGACCACATAATTGGAAGCAAAACACTCCTCAGCAAATGTAAAAGAACAGAAATCACAACTGTCTTTCAGACTAGAGTGTAATCAAATTTAAACTGAGGATTCTCACTCAAAACCGCTCAACTACATGGAAACTGAACAACCTGCTCCTGAATGGCTACTGGGTAAATAATGAAATGAAGGCAGAAATAAATATATTCTTTGAAAATAATGAGAACAAATACACAATGTACCAGAATCTCTGGGACACATTTAAAGCAGTGTGTAGAGGGAAATTTATAGCACTAAATGCCCACACGATAAAGCAGGAGAGATCTAAAATCGACACTGTAACATCACAATTAAAAGAACTAGAGAAGCAAGAGCAAACACATTCAAAAGCTAGCAGAAGACAAGAAATAACTAAGATGAGAGCAGAACTGAGGGAGATAGAGACAAAAAAAACCCTTCAAAAAAAATCAATGAATCCAGGAGCTGGTTTTTGGAAAAAATCAACAAAATTGATAGACCACTAGCAAGACTAATAAAGAGGAAAAGAGAAGAATCAAATAGACACAATAAAAAATGATAAAGGGGATATCACCACTGATTCCACAGAAATACAAACTACCATCAGAGAATACCATAAACATCTCTACGCAAATAAACTAGAAAATCTAGAAGAAATGGATAAATTCCTGGGCACATACACCCTCCCAAGATTAACCAATCCCTGAATAGATCAATAACAGGTTCTGAAATTGAGGCAATAATTAATAGCCAACCAACCAAAACAGCCCAGGACCAGATGGATGCACAGCCAAATTCTACCAGAGGTACAAAGAGGAGCTGGTTCCATTCCTTCTGAAATTATTCCGATCAATAGAAAAAGAGGGAATCCTCCCTAACGCATTTTATGTGGCCAGCATCATCCTGATACCAAAGCCTGGTAGAGACACAACAAAAAAAGAGAATTTTAGACCAATATCCCTGATGAACATTGATGTGAAAATCCTCAATAAAACACTGGCAAACCGAATTCAGTAGCACATCAAAAATCTTATCCACCACAATCAAATCGGCTTCATCCCTGGGATACAAGGCTGGTACAACATACGCAAATCAAAAACGTAATCCATCACATAAACAGAACCAATGACAAAAACCACATGATTATCTCAATAGATGTAGAAAAGGCCTTCAACAAAATTCAACAGCCCTTCATGCTAAAAACTCTCAATAAACTAGGTATTGATGGAATGTATCTCAAAATAATAAGAGCTATTTATGACAAAACCCACAGCCAATATCATACTGAATGGGCAAAAACTGGAAGCATTCCCTTTGAAAACTGGCACAAGACAGGGATGCCCTCTCTCACCACTCCTATTCAACACAGTATTGGACGTTCTTGCTAGGGCAGTCAGGCAAGAGAAAGCAATAAAGGGTATTCAAACAGGAAGAGAGAAAGTCAAATTGTCTCTGTTTGCAGATGACATGATTGTATATTAAGAAAACCCCATCATCTCAGCCCAAAATCTCCTTAAGCTGATAAGCAACTTCAGCAGTCTCAGGATACAAAATCAATGTGCAAAAATCACAAGCATTCCTATACACCAATAACAGACAAACAGAGAGCCAAATCATGGGTGAACTCCCATTCACAATTGCTACAAAGGGAATAAAATACCTAGGAATCCAACTTACAGGGGATGTGAAGGACCTCTTCAAGGAGAACTACAAACCACTGCTCAATGAAATAAAAGAGGATACAAACAAATGGAAGAACATTCCATGCTCATGGGTAGGAAGAATCAATATCGTGAAAATGGCCATACTGCCCAAGGTAATTTATAGATTCAATGCCATCCCCATCAAGCTACCAATGACTTTCTTCACAGAATTGGAAAAAACTACTTTAAAGTTCATATGGAACCAAAAAAGAGCCCTCATTGCCAAGTCAATCCTAAGCCAAAAGAACAAAGCTGGAGGCATCACGCTACCTGACTTCAAAGTATACCACAAGGCTACAGTAACCAAAACAGCATGGTACTGGTACCAAAACAGAGTTATAGACCAATGGAACAGAACAGAGCCCTCAGAAATAGCGCTGCATATCTACAACTATCTGATCTTTGACAAACCTGACAAAAACAAGAAATGGGGAAAGGATTTCCTATTTAATAAATGGTGCTAGGAAAACTGGCTAGCTATATGCAGAAAGCTGAAACTGGATCCCTTCCTTACACCTTATATAAAAATTAATTCAAGATGGATTAAAGACTTAAATGTTAGACCTAAAACCATAAAAACCCTAGAAGAAAACCTAGGCAATACCATTCAGGACATAGGCATGGGCAGGGACTTCATGTCTAAAACACCAAAAGCAATGACAACAAAAGCCAAAATTGACAAATGGGATCGAATTAAACTAAAGAGCTTCTGCACAGCAAAAGAAACTACCATCAGAGTGAACAGGCAACCTGCAGAATGGGAGAAAATTTTTGCAATCTACTCATCTGACAAAGGGCTAATATCCAGAATCTACAATGAACTCAAACAAATTTACAAGAAAAAAACAAACAACCCCATCAACAAGTGGGCGAAGGATATGAACAGACACTTCTCAAAAGAAGACATTTATGCAGCCCACAGACAGATGAAAAACTGCTCATCATCACTGGCCATCAGAGAAATGCAAATCAAAACCACAGTGAGATACCATCTCGCACCAGTTAGAATGGCGACCATTAAAATGTCAGGAAACAACAGGTGCTGGAGAGGATGTGGAGAAATAGGAATGCTTTTACACAGTTGGTGGGACTGTAAACTAGTTCAACCATCGTGGAAGTCAGTGTGGCAATTCCTCAGGGATCTAGAACTAGAAATACCATTTGACCCAGCCATCCCATTACTGGGTATATACCCAAAGGACTATAAATCATGCTGCTATAAAGACACATGCACACGGATGTTTATTGTGGCACTATTCACAATAGCAAAGACTTGGAACCAACCCAAATGTCCAACAATGATAGACTGGATTAAGAAAATGTGGCACATATACACCATGGAATACTATGCAGCCATAAAAAAGGATGAGTTCATGTCCTTTGTAGGGACATGGATGAAGCTGGAAACCATCATTCTCAGCAAACTATCACAAGGACAAGAAACCAAACACCACATGTTCTCACTCATAGGTGGGGATTGAAGAATGAGAACACATGGACACAGGGTGGGGAACATCACACACCGGGGCCTGTTGTGGGGTGGGGAGGGGGAGGGATAGCATTAGGAGATATACCTAATGTTAAATGACGAGTTAATGGGTGAAGCACACCAATATGGTACATGTATATATGTGTAACAAACCTGTACACTGTGCACATGTACCCTAAAACTTAAAGTATAATAATAAAAAAAAAAGTCAAGAAACGACAGATGCTGGAGAGGTTGTGGAAAAATAGGAACACTTTTACACTGTTGGTGGGAGTGTAAATTAGTTCAACCATTGTGGAAGACAGTGTGGGGATTCCTCAAGGATCTAGAACTAGAAATACCATTTGACCCAGCAATCCCATTACTGGGCATATACCCAAAGGATTATAAATCATTCTACTATAAAGACACATGCACATGTATATTTATTGCTGCACTATTCACAATAGCAAATACTTGGAACCAACCCAAATGCCCATCAATGATAGACTGGATTAAGAAAATGTGGCACATATACACCATGGAATACTATGCAGCCATAAAAAAGGATGAGTTCATATCCTTTGCAGGGACATGGATGAAGCTGGAAACCATCATTCTCAGCAAACTATCACAAGATCAGAAAACCAAACACTGCATGTTCTCACTCATAAGTGAGAGTTGAACAATGAGATCACATGGACACAGGGAAGGGAACATCACTCACTGGGGCCCGTGGGGGGTGGGGGGCTAGGGGAGTGATAACATTAGGAGAAACACCTAACGTAGGTGACGGGTTGATGGGTGCAGAAACCACCATGGCACATGTATGCCTGTGTAACAAAACTACATGTTCTGTACATGTAACCCAGAACTTAAAGTATAATTTTTAAAACAAGTGGTAAAATGATCTTAACAGACATTTTTCAAAAGAAGAAATACAAACGGCCAAGAAATATTTGAAAAAAATTTAAAAAAAAGCTCAACATCACTAATCATCAGAAAAACGCAAAACAAAACTACTGTGAAGTATCATCTCATCCCAGTTAGGATGGCTAATATCAAGAAGACACAAAATAACAAATGTTGGTGAGGACGTGGAGAAAAAGGAACCCTTTTACACAGTTGATAGTAATGTTAAACTAGTACAGCCACTATGGAGAACAGTATGGAAGTTCCTCAAGTAACTACAAATAAAACTACCATAAGATCCAGCAATCTCACTACTGGGTACATATCCAGATGAAAGGAAATTAATATACTATAGAGACATCTGCCCTCCCATGTTTATTGCAGCACTATTCGCAATAGCCAAGACATAGAATTAATCTACGTGCCCAACAACAGATGAATGGATAAAGAAAATATGGCACATACACATGATGGAATATTATTTGGCCATAAAAATAATGAGATCTTGTCATTCATGGTAACATGGACGTAACTGGAGGACATTATGTTAAGTGAAATAAGCCAGAAAAAGAAAGTTAAATACCACATGTCCTCACTCATATGCAAAAGCTTAAAAAAGTTGATCTCGCAGAAATAAAAAGTAGACCAGAGGACACCAGAGGCTGGAAAGGGAGAAGGGAGGTATAGGGGGAGATTTGTTAAAGGATACATACAAAACAGCTAGATGGGAGGACTGGGTTCTAGTGTTCTGTAGCACTGTAGACCTAATATAGCTAACGATAATATATTTTATAGATTCAAATAGCTAGAAGGACGACATTGGATGTTCCTAACACAAAGAATTGATAAATGTTGGAGATAATGGATATGCTAATTACCCTGATATGATCAGCATACATGACATGTATCCAAACATCACTATGTACCCCATGAATATGTATAAATGTTAGGTGTCAATTAGAAAATAAAATATAAAAAAGAAAAGAAAAATTATTAAATATGACCAAATAGGGTTAAAAACTTAATAGACCATGGAAAAAAATTTAAAATTCTCAAGATTCTTTCTTCCCCCACAAAGGCCACTGTGATCAGATAGTTCTTCAGATTAGGGTTATCATATCGTCTAGGAAATAAAAATCATGTGTATTCTATTTAAATCATTCCAAAGGTAAGGAAAAAAGTCCAAATTTATGTCTGAGAGACTAACCTAACTCTGATATGAAAATCAGATAAGGACAATGCCTCTCCCTCAAAGAAAACTGTTGACTAATTTCATTTACGAATATAACTCAAACATTAGCAAATTGAACATTAAAGTGGATTTTAAAGGAATATACATGGTACACAAAGAATTCAAGGATAAATCAATATCAAAAAACAATTTACATAATTAAAAAAGTAAAACCCATATAATCATCTTAACAGATTCATCTGCTAAAATTAAACACAAATTCATGATAAAATGATTCGTAAGTAGTGAATAGAAAATTATGCCTTTAATTTGAGTAAATATATTTATCAGGAACCAAGAACAAACTTCTTCCAAATAGCAAAATATAGACATGTCCATTAAATATAGGAACAAGACAATGATCCCTACCATGAAACTATTTTTCAACATATTTTGGGGCAACAAGAAATGCTTATTTATTTATCTAAATCATTATTTAAAACAAATATCACTTTTAGTGAGATAAGTTGATTTTTAGCCTTTAGTTTTTCCTCAAAAAAATGTGTCAGATAATTTCTTAAGTTACCATATTGCTCACTGAATAAAGAGAAATTCTCTTTCACATTTTACAGATACACAATATCATTGTCCTATGTGATTTTCCAGATGTTTTCTGAAATCATGCTGACACTCGTTCCATCTTGGCTTGACACGTAGACTATAATTATCTTCTAAGTGTCAAATAAATCAAACAGAAGAGAGTTGAAAAACCTAAACTTATCTTCTCCTGTTGCTTTCTACCTTCTATGGTTTCAGAAATAGCAATATCCTTCATTTTACAAAGCAAGTTTTATATCTTTGGTAGGCCATTCTCTGAATTCTCATTAGTACCAGAGGTATGATAGTGGCTGATTTTGAGGTAAAGCTACTAGCACCACTGCAACAGGGATGGCAAATCACTGTTCATCTTAAAGGTAATAAAGATATATTCTTAATTTAGCAAATTAACAGAAGAACAAACACATTAGGCTGACATTTACATAGGTGATGTCCATCAAGTTCTAATTAGAAACATATTAATTAGAAATGTTGAATAAATAAAACTTGGAATGGGATAGCTATTTTTAAAACTTCAATTTTGTTTAAATGTCAGTCATATTTATAGTCTCTAATGAGGTTAATTTTTATATCATTGTTTAGTTCTAAGAATCATAGCATATTGGACACAAGTTACAGTCTAGTAAAGGATGAACTTATTTCAAGTGCTATATTTGTATTGATGGCAACAGACAATGTTTACTTAGCCTAGTGAAGCATGTGTAGGTAGGAGGGACAGACAGGGGCATTTGCAACCAAAATGGTACAGTGGAAGGGGATCACTATAATTTTTATAACTAGTGATATTAGGAAATTATCAATAAGGTTGGACACGCTTTTTTTTTTTTTTTACCTTGAGGGCTTACACTTTATTTGAGAAAAGAAGACAAAAATCACAATGAACTTACGCATAAAAAGGATATAATTTACTGAAAGGTTGTACAATCCAAACATTATTATTTTCAAACTATGTGGATCTGAATTCATTTTTTTAAAGTTTTTAGTTTGAGATAATTGTAGATTCCCATGCAGTTGTAAGAAATAACACAGAAAGAGATCCTGTGTACTTTTACCCAGTTTTACTCCATAATAACATCTTTCAAACTATGGTACAACATCTCAACCAGACTACTGACATAGCTACAATCCACTGAATTTGTTCAGATTTCCCTTGGTTTCCTTGAACTCATGTATGTGTGCGTGTGTGTGTGTGTGTGTGTGTGTGTGTGTGTGGGTGTGTGGGTGTGGGTGTGTGTGGGTGTGTTTAGTTCTATACAAGTTTATCAGAATGGTAGGCTTTTGTATCCATCACTACAGCATAATCCTGAACAGTTCCATCACCACAGTGTTGCCCTCTTAAAACCAACTCACCTTTCTACTACGCTCCCTCTCCGCTTAACACCTGGCAACCACTAATCTGTTCTTTACTATGATTTTATGTCAAGATGTTATACAAAGAGAATTTTGTAATATGTAATTTTTTGGGATTGGCCTCTTTCACTCAGCATAATTCTCAGGAGATTCAGCCAAGTTGTTGTGTGTATCAATTGCATATTCTTTTTATTGCTGAGTAATATTCCATGGTATGGATGTACCATAATTTACTTAACCATTTGCCCATTGAAGGACATCTGTGTTGCTTCCAGTTTTGGGTTATTATGAATAAAGGTGCTTTGAATATTTGTGCACAGGCTTTTGAGAAAACCTACATTTTCATTTCCCTTGGATAAATAAATGCCCAAGAGTGCAACTGCTGTGTGATATGGCAATTGCAGGTTTAGTTTTATAAAAAGCTGCCAAACTGTTTTCCTGAGTAGCTATTATCATTTTACATTGCCACTAGCAGCACCTGAGTGATTGGATCCAGTTTCTCCACATCCTTGCCAGCACTTGATGGGTCACTATTTTTACTAGCCCATCTATTATAATAGATGTTGAATGTACTTTTAATCCAGGATTCTCAACATCAGCCTATTGATATTTTGGACTGAATAATTATCTGGTGTTGGAAGGAGGGCTATTCTGTGATTGTAGGATGTTTAGCCATACCCCTGACCTCTACCTACCAAATGTCAGTAGCATGCCCTATCCCCTACCCTCCACCCCTTCTTGCCTTTATTAAAATCAAACATGTCTTCACACATTGCTAAATGTCCCAAAGAGGCAATATCTTCCCTGTTTGAGAATCATTATAATTTATCATGACATTCTAAATCTAAAACAAGATCACTAGTGCTCATTTATCTCCTCTGGGCTCTTTCCCTTTTTTGGGAAATATAAAACTTTTCTTAACACTCCACTCTCTTTCTCTTTTCCAACCAATCCCCTTAACGCATCACCCAGATCCATAAGATTATAAACCTGCTACGATGACTTATTGGACTAGAACCAAAGTGAAATTGCTTTCATATGATCTTGTTCAGGCTACTAACTCTCAAATTATCTCCATCAGCTAGGAATGTGTCTACTCCCATTTGTTTGCTAGGTGCTAGTCTCAGGCAGAAGCAAATTCAGAATATCTGTGAGATGAGAAAGGCGAGGAAAACCTGAAAAATAGGCTTTTTAAAAGGGAGGTGGTGCAGATTAGAAAGAATCCAGGTTAAAACAGAATATGCTGCAAGTTGGGAAAAACTAAAATTCCAGCCACTGTACCTGCATACTCTTATCACTAAGCACAAAACTCTGCACCTAACTTTAGGTATATGTCCGAACACTAATCCCCCCACTTCTCAGTCTATTAAAATACTTCTCATCCTTCAAAGCTCAGATCAAGTACTATCTCTTCTGTAACACCTTCCCCATTCCAGCTGGAACAAAATAAGCTTTCCCCTGGATTCTGCCAACATTTATCTCCACCTTGATCATTACTAGGACTCGTATCATTCTGTCCATGCTTTGATTATGTGTGCATCTCTGCCCATCCTGAGATGGCTAGCTTCTTGAATTTCATTTAGCAAAAAGACCAGGGCAAGAATGCCTGTGCAGTGGTACAGTAGGTTATGTAGAAGGCAGAATGAAAATGGATAGAGAAGAAACAGGCAGCATAAAGAGAATCAAAGAAAGGGTCATTTTAAAGTCAGAACTTTTAGGGAAATTTGGGGCTAAGCCCACCTTGAAATTTGTATCCAAGAAACTTCTACAACTGGGATAAAAGAAAAAAAACTGTTGACTGTGAAATAGAGGAAGGAATATTTTGAGTGAGTGGTTCTTAAATGGAATCACCTGGAAGGTTTCTTCTTTTAAAAAAATGTAAGCTTTGACTTTAGATTCAAGGGTTGCATATGCAGGTTTGTTACATGGATATATTGTGTGATGCTGAGTTTTGGGACATGAATGCTCCCATCATCCAGGTAGTAAGCATAGTACCCAACGGTCATTTAGTTTTCCCTCTTTCCATCATGACATTCCAAATCTATGTAAAATGAAATTACTAATGTTCACTTATCTCGTCTGGGCTCTTCCTCTTTTTGTAGAAAAAAATGTTGGGTGCATATATATTTAGAATAGTTAAATCTTGTTGTTGAATTCAACCCTTTATCATTATGTAATGACCTTCTTTGTCCTTTTTTTATGGTTGTTGGTTTAACATCTGATTTATCTGATATAAAATAGTGATTCTTGCCCTTTTTTTCATTTGCATGATAGGTCTTTCTCCTTTCCTTTGAGCCTGTGGGTGTCCTTACCTGTGAGATGGGCCTCTTGAAGACGGCATATAGTTAGGTCTCGGTTTTTTAATCCAACTTGCCACTCTGTACCTTTTTTTTTTTTTTTTTTTTTGGAGACAGAGTCTCACTCTGTTGTCCTGGCTGGAGTGCAGTGGTGTGATCGTGATCTTGGCTCACTGCAACCTCTGCCTCCTGGGTTCAAGCAATCAAGCAATTCTCCTGCCTCAGCCTCCCGAGTAGCTGGGACTACAGGCGCACACTGCCTTGCTTGGCTAATTTTTTGTATTTTAGTAGAGATGGGTTTTACCGTGTTGCCCAGGCTGGTCTCAAACTCCTGAGCTCAGGCAATCCACCCACCTCGGCCTCCCAAAGTGGTGAGATTACAGACATGAGCTACCACACCCAGCCCACTCTGTGCCTTTTAAGTGGGGTCATTTATACCATTTACATTCAAGGTTAATATTGACATGTGAAGTTTTGATCCTATCATGTTGTTGTTAGCTGGTTGCTTTATAGTCATGATTGTATAGTTGTTTTATAGGGTCTGTGGGCTATGTGCTTTCATGTGTTTTTATGGCAGCAAATGTTCTTTTGTTTCCATGTTTAGAACTGTCTTAAGAATCTCTTGTAAGGCTGGTAACAAATTCCCTTAGTGATTGCTTGTGTGGAAAAGATTATTTTCCTGTATTTATGAAGCTAAGTTTGGCAGGATATGAAATTTTTGGTTGGAATTTTTTTTTTAAGAGTGCTAACATAGGACTGGGCATGTTGGCTCACACCTGTAATCCTAGCACTTTGGGCAGCCAAGGCAGGTGAATTAGAGTTCAAGACTAGCCTGTCCAACAAGGCAAAACCTCATCTCTATTAAAAATACAAAAATTAGCTGGGTGTGGTGGTGTGCACCTGTAATTATAGCTACTCAGGTGGCTGAGGTGAGGTGGGAGGATCACTTGAATTTAGGAGGTGGAGGTTGCAGTGGGTCAAGACCATGCCACTGCATTCCAGCATGGATGATGGAGTGAGACTGTGTCAAAAAACAAAACAAAACAGAATGCTAAAATAGGCCCACAGTCTCTTCTGGCTTGTAAGGTTTCTGCTGAGAAGCCCACCGTTAGCCTGATGGGGTTCCCTTTTAAAGTAATATGCCCCTTTTCAATAGTGGCGCTTAAGAGTAAGGGCCATCTCTTTACATATAAAGCAGATGGACTCTTACTTATCCATGCATCTGTTTTGTATTTCAGTGCATATAGAATGGTGATCTAGGGAGGGCAAGAGATGACTCCCTCATCAGGTCTATTCCTGGGCCTAGGCAGAGCCCCCTACAATTACTGGCGCCACACCTGCATTTCCTTAGCCCTAAGTGGGGCGTTGGCAGGCTGCACTCCCTGCTCCCTCAGGGGAAGTCTGAGCTGAAGGTTAGGTCACCAGGAGGCCTGCAACTCTCCTCCAATAACCCACTAGTCCTCTGAGCTTGGCAAAGTCAGAGCAGGTTGTGGAGTATGTCTGCAGGTGGTCTTGTGATGCACTGGGCCAAGGGTGGAGGATCCCCAAGCAGGGCCCTTGTGCCATGGCTGTGCAACTTGTATGGCACCTGTAGCCTGAGGTTTTTAGCCCAGCAAACATCTGTGTGGCCCACACAGCTCACGCTCCCCCAACTAGGTCTCTCTCTGGCATCTGCCTCAGGAGTAATCCCAACAAGCTAGACTTGTCCCAAGCCTTCTGCTCCCTCTAGGGAGCACTGTCACCTGGAACACCTGGGCTCCCTGAGGCAGTATCTGTGGCTGGATGACAGGCTACACCCTTCCTGGACTGGTCTTGTGCAGGGAGGGATAGCTAGCTCCTGTGCCAGCACATGAGCCTATACCACACTCTTCTCAGTGTTCTGAAACTGGGCGCTCCTCCCCAACCTCAGCTCAGGCCACAGATCTCAGCTGGATACCCCTGGACAGTGTGCTCAAATCCTGGGGTATTGTGATGGGGCCCACAGTTTTGTCTGCTGGCCCATTGGGTCAAACACTGGCTGTGCTGACAGGATGGGGGCTGGGGTGCTGAACTGCTCCCAGGCTGCAGGCAAAACATTCAGGCAGGGAATTGGAGGTTGTGCTGTGGGCACCCTCCTGTGGGAGACCCAGGCAGGTAGTCTTGGGAGGGGATGGCAGGCAAGTGGGCACATGGATCAGGTGCACCCTAGTTATGTGGGAATGACAGCTCTGCTTTCTCCCCACCTGGCCATCAGCAGGGCTAGAGCCACTCAGAGCAAGATGGAGAGCCTTGGGGGATGGGTGCCTATGGCTGCATTTTACTGAAGCTGCATCTGGCACTATGACACCTTCTGGACTCCACACAGGTTTAAGCTCTGCTTCCTCTGGGGAGTTCCCCTTGCAAACTCAAATGTCTATGTGAGTCATGGGATCTCTTTTTGCTAGGATCCCAGAGGTCCACAGTGGGAGAGTGGTTCCCTGGAGTTCCTTCACTTACCTCTTCCTTAGGATCAGGAGCCAGTCCTGGCACTTGGCAGCTCTGTGCAAGCTTCCCAGCTTCCTCCCTCTTCAATTTTGGTGTCTGCATCTCCTCTCTATCAACTTTCAGTATTTTCTCTCAAAAGATCTGTTTGAAGTGTGATGGTTTACTCGATATTTTGGTGTCAGGTTCACGAGTACACCAAATGTCCTGCTCAGGGTCAGGTTCCAGCTCACGCAGAGGTCTGAAGGGAGTGGGTGAATGAGCAGATAGCTGAAAGAACGCTCAGCGGGTGGGGTGGCGGGGTAGGCAGGTGAAATGTAGTTTTATTCAGTAGCTCTCTCATCAGCAGCTCACTCACCGTCCACCTCGTCTCAGCTGCTTGAGCCGGTGGCTTCCACACACAGCTGCATGGCTGGCTCTTCCTTCAGGGTCAGCAGCTTAACTCTTTCTCTCTCTAGGCACGAGTGAGCTGAGCTGTGTCCTGGCTCCCCTTGTCCATCTGCAAAGACGGACAATTCTGGCTCGCTTGCTCTCTCTCTCTCTCTCTCTCTCTCTTTCTCTCTGGGTGCAAGCATGCCTGTAAAGTGTTAGCGGGGCAATTATATCTTTTATAGACAATAGTGGCGTAGGTCCAAGGGATGGCCTTTCCATGTTATGGCTACATGGCTGTGATAACAAGTGGAGTTATATGACTGCACTACAAACTCGCTGAGTCATGCAGAATATAAACATCCTACCTCGACCTATCCTTGACCAAAGCACAGCCATGTTCCTTATATTTGGTTTCCCTCGGTAAGCGAGGCATTTCCCAGCTGCGTCTCATGGGCCACCTTATTTCATTTTCCCCACCTGAAGGCTTCTTACAACAGATTGCTAGGCTCTACCCCTAGAAATTTTGATTTGGAGAGTCTGGAGTAAGGCCTGAGAATATGCATTTTTAAGGAGTTTCCAGGTGATGCTGCTATTGGTGGTTGAGCACCACATGTTGATAACCACTGGTGTAGCCTAACCCTCAAGGTTCCTCCACCTGTGGAGGTCAGCCCAGCAGCACTGCTATGCAAAGTTATTGGGGGAAGGACTTATATAGTGGAAACAAACTGGGAAGCACCTCCTCTTTGCTGAGCAATCTAGAATCTTCCCATGAGCTTCGGCTCTGGGCCTTTTTAATGACGTTAAACAAATATTTAGTAAGAAATTTATGTTCATATTTATATTTCTGAAATGCTTTGCACACAATAGATGGGGGATATACAATAAAGGCTCATTATGTGAAAACACGGATGGAATGAATTTAATATTCTTGCAGTTCTTGCATGTTCATTGCATAGAGAAATTTCCTAATAAAAGTTTGTTGGTCTTGTTGTTGTTCCTATTGGTAACGACGCCATAACATCCTTCTCAATGTGATGCTAAACATACAGAAGATAAGGAAATGTTTAGAGAAATGAATAATAAGTTTTGCAAAGATAAAAGTCTAGAAAGCTAGTCTAGGCTGCAGATATTTCCCATAATCTGGCAGGTAGGTGAGGAGATAGATAGATAGAGATTGATAGATAGATGAGATACAGATAGATGAGAGAGAGAGAGAGAGAGAGAGACAGACAGACAGACAGAGACAGAGATACCCACACACCTCATGGATTCTGTGGCAGACAGACCTCTAAGATTGCCCCTAGGATCTCCACCCCTGGTATTCATGCCCATGTATAACCTACTCATTTTGAGTGTCCTGGCTCACTACAGTGATTTGTTTTAAAAAATTGAATACAGCAAAAGTGATGGATATTACTTCCTTGATTAGGTTATGAAACATTGTATCTTCCTTTCATTTTATTTGTACTCTCTCTCTCTTTTGTCTTTTCATGTGCTCAATCTGACAAAGTCAGCTTTGATGGAGAGGCCACATGGCAATGACCTCAGAACAGCCTCTGACCAAAAGCCCGTGAAGAACTGAGCCATCAGCTCAACATGGGCCCAACAACCTGATGAGTGAGCTAGGAAGCAAATCCTTCTAAGTTAAGCCTTGAAATCACACTGGCTTTGTTAGACACCTGGAGACAGTGGGCCTAGTTAACCCAAATGTGCATTCCTGATCCACAGAAACTGTGAGATAATAAATGTGTTTTAAGGTGCTAAATTTGGGGGTTATTTGTTTTGCAGTAATAGATAATGACACAGATTATTTTCTTAAAATGCCAAATAATTAATGTATTCTGCAAAGCATCAAAGAAGTAGTGTGTGTGGATGTGCATGTGTGTGTGTGTGTGTGTGTGTGTATGTGTGTGTGTGTGAGAGAGAGAGAGATCAGGCAGGGTTCCAAAAAGATTTCTGATCTCATTTCCCATTGCACAAGACTTGTTGCTAATCTGATCCCCTAAAAAATTAAACACCAAAAGTTCCAGAATTAATTAGGGTCATCACTATTATCATTATTATTCAAGCTTTCCAGACCTAATTGTGCCATCCCACTCACCTTACTCACAACTATTGACAGAACTGTAATATTTGTAATAATGGTTGGTCTTAGCCTTTCTGACTCACATGTTAACTCTACTCAGATCTTCTTGCAGACTTAAGTGAGACTGAAAGAGAAGGTAGCTGTGCTCTGGCCATGACTAGAGTTTAAAGTACCACAACTATACATAAACATCTCTACACATCAAGAATCACAGACAACATTCCATCCATCACTTATCCATCCAATTTTCAACAAATGTTTACTGAATACCTACATTGAGCAATGCACCATGCTAGGAAGAATAATTGAAAGATGGCCATGATCATAATGTGTTCATATTCCCTTTTAAATTTACAGTAACCATGACACCTCCCTTACCTCTACAGTGTTTTCTTTTTAGCAGTGTCTATATAGCAAGTATTTTGAGCACATTGCCATTTGTGAAATGCTGTCAGTGAAAAATCTAATTCTTAAGAACGGACAAGAAGTCTGCCATTGGCAGGTACTTCAACTAGGCTTTTCAAAGTTGAAACACCAACAACGGGCCTTTTGCTATTGCTGGCATGACATTTGACTTGATATTTGAAACTCTTGTCTGGCCATTTCCCAAGGGGCCACAGTGAAGGCTCAAGGGGCTTCGCTGTAAAGATGAACCACAGCAAGGCAGATACCAGTGTGCGTCTGACATGGATTCAGCTCTCCTTGCACAGTCAGCCTGTAGCACAACCACAGCTCATAAAATCCCATGTCCCTCAGGATTCCCAGAGATCATAAGAAGTAAACAAAAGACAGAATAAGCTCATGAGGCACATTGCTTTTAACTAAAAAGCAATATACAAGTATCAAAATAAGTCCAGAAAAGGCCATTTGGCAATCCATATGAGAAGATTTAATTTGTATTTTGCATATCTTTTGATCTAGCAAATCTACTCATAGGAATTTATCCTAAGTTGTGTAGGGGAGTGGGAAGATCATAGGGCTTTGAAAATCTATGGCTACGGGGGCGTTTGCTAAAATGATGTTTATGAGGAAAGAAATTAGAAACCACCTAAATATGCACCAAGAGAGGACTGGATAAATTAACTGTTATATAATCATACAATGGAATATAATTTAGCCATTAAAATAACATTGTGGAAGAATAAGAACTAGGGAAATATTAATGTTCAGTATATATTATTAAGTGAAACGGCAGGTTAAGAAACATGTACAATATTTTTATGTTTTTGTTAAAAAATGCATGTGCATACTATATATATGTACATGTATATATATATAGAGAGAGAGAGAGAGGTGGGAATGTTAATAGTGGTTTTATCTCAATATTGAGTTTTTGGATAATTTAAATATTATTTTTATTTAACTATATGGTTTATATTTTCATAATGAGCATACAGTTTTGAGATTAGGGATAATTTCAATTTTATTACTTTTATTTTGCTATTGTCTGTATTTTCTATAATGAATACACATTGTTTAGAAAAACATTAAATTATTATTTATAAAGGGATCGATTAACTGAAAATGTACATTAAAGAAATTCTTAAACTAAATCTTGAGGTTTTAAGTACATGAAAAGGGAATAAACGTAACTGAGCATCTTCAATTCTGCCTTCTGCCCAGCAACTTAGCTATCACTCAAAGGAAATAAAAAGTTAGAGTTTAAAACATCACTGTCACATAACCACCCTAAATCTTGTTATCTTCTGGAATTGAGACTTTTTTTGCCAATGAATGAACCAAAAGGAACTTTTCTTTGTGCTGGAGGAGGAGGAAATGATCTTTTTAGGAGGAAGGAGAGAAAGCACACCCTCATATAAGGATAACCAGATACCAGCTGGAGAAGGCACATATGTGTGGCCGCTACTTACAGAGGTTCTCAAGGCAGTTCAAATGTGAACACATTTTCTGTTCAGGGACAGTGTAAGTTTTCCATTTTTAAAATTAGTCTCAATAGGCAACTTCAAGGAAACCAAAGTGGTAGAAGATATAAGTATTATAGGTATAAAAATAGTCTTTTTCTAAAATTAAGCAGAACTTGATATTTTAGAAGGCAATTAATTTTTATTTTAAATCAAAACAGTGCTTCATGTTTAAGTAATGTTTGCCTCTAAATTTTTCTATTTCTTTTATCTAAATAAAAAAGAGAAGCTCTCAACTAGAGTTTGAGGCATACATAAAATAGCAAAATAGACCAAAAACATATAATTTAACGAATACTGTGACTCAATTACGTTACTTCTTTCTAGGAGACACAAAACACATTCTGAGGAAATATACATTCACTACACGTGCACGGGAATCATTCATTTACTCATTTAACATGAATTATCACCCACAAAATGTTAAGTACCTAGAATAAGGAGATAAAGATCAATCCTGTCCTACAGACCCACTGTAAAAAGAATAGGTGGGGCAGTTGAGACAGAAAATATGTTAAAGTCTTCTTTGTGGGGCAGATAAACAAATTATATTTTCAACACAATGTATTAAGTGCTTTAATAGATTAATGCACAGTGTGATTTCTGTTGGCACCAGAGGACGGACATTCGAAAAATACTCGACAGGAAAAGACATTAGGGAGGCTTCCAAGAGGAGGAAAGACTTTTGCTGAATCTTGAAGGGATGGAGAATTAAGCCCGTAGATGAGTGAGGAATACATGTGGGGCACAGAGATGTGTCACTGATGAAATGTAGGCTGGATACATCTAAAACAAAGGAATCCTTAGGGCAACACAATGATATCTGCTAATGTCTGTTATTTCATTAAAATAGAATTTGATTATACATTGACATTTAGCAAGCTCATAGGTTTAAGAACTTGTGAGATTGCTCAACTATGGTATATTAGGTTATTGTTAAAAATTATTCACTCACCCCTCTTTCACTTTGTGGGTGGAACATGCTTGCTCATCCCTTGATTCTGGGTTTGTCCACTTGCTTGCATTAGACAGTGGAATGTCAGGAGATACAAGGCATGAAAAGCACTCGAGAGACAGGGCTTTCTCACTTACACCTCTGCAAACCTATGGAAAGAACTCGTTCTGACTAGCTCACTGCTCTTGGGAGGAAAATGAGAGAAACAAAGAGCAGAGCCTCCCCACCCAAGTCCTCCTATATAGCCATCCCTTAGCTGATATTCAGACTTGTGACCCTATTGTTGTATGCCTCTGAGATTCTGTGGCTGTTATGCAGCAGTATCGTGGTCATAGTTACTGATACACCAATCAAAAATATTTCCTGATACAGTGTATACGATTCCAAACTTAACTAACATTTCTTAAATGAGTAGCTCATCACAATTTTGTATTGCGTTACTGTGTGATGCATGAGTTTTGATTGGAGAGATGTGATATGGAGTTTGCTTGAAATGAACATGCCCAGACACCCAAAAGAAATTGATGAGGTTCCTGGACTTCCAGTGGTATAAAAGTGAGAAGAGAAGATAAAAAAAAATGCAGAGTGGTACTGAAGCCAATACTCACCTTCTTCACATTTTTTTTGGTAGGGCATATCTGGCACTCAACTAAATGTTTAATTTGGGGGAAAGCAGGATTTATTCCAGATCTTTTTAAACTTTAATCCTGCTCCTCCACATAGACTATATTCATGGGTTCAAATAATCAATATTGTAAAGTTACCATTTTTCTCCTAATTGGTCTATAGATTTGATGCAATCTCAATCGTAATGGAAATGCACAAACTGCTACTAAAGTTTATATGGAAATTCAAAGGCCAGGAAAAGCCATGGAAATCTTGAAGAAGCAAAGAGCTAGAGGACATTGTCAGATATCAAGACTTATTATAAAGTTAAAGCAATGAAGTTTATGTGGTATTGGTGCAAGAATAGACAAATAGATCAATGGAAGAAAATAGAGTCTAGAAACAGACCACTCATATACTGTCACATGATTTCTGATAAAATTGATTATGCAGTGGCATGGGAGACAAGGTGATCTTTTCAAGAAATGGTCTTGGATTATTTAAATATCCAACTGATAAAACAGTGAATCTTGACTGCTACCCCCACACCAACCACAAAAATCAATTTCAGATAGATAGTAGATATAAATGTAAAGTAGAGAAAAGAAGAAAACATAGGATACAGTTTTTATGACTTTTGAGAAAGCAAAACATTCTTAAACAGGACCATAAAGAAAATAAATGACAATTAGATGATAAAATTTTAATCCTCCCATTCTGAAGTGATGCTACCAGTCCCATTTCAGTGGGGGAAGGGGACATTTGAGATGGACCAAAAGATGTTATTTCATTTACTGAACAAACACTAAATTTTTTTCTTTCTACCTTAAGACTCATTTTATAAGGCCATCAATCTATGATAGAAAAGATCAAAGCTTCCCTTACTAGTGATATAAATAGTGACTATAGAATGAATGAGTTTCTTTTCTAATATAGATTTATAATTAATATTAGGGAGCAATTTTAAAAAGGTCATTTTTTCAAATAAATTTCTCCAATAGAGGCATCACAGAGCAAAGAGGTAATACCTTCTTACTTCCCACTCCATGCCCCTTGCAGTATTTCATTAAAGACCTTTGCAAATAGCAAGTATCACAACAGCACATTATGATATTCCACAGATTATTAATTATGTGACTGACTGATGGCACTAAATTTCATGTTAGGAGCCTTGTTAAATGGAGATCACTTTGGAATAGAAATAAAACATCTCGCATTATGATCTGAATCAAGAGGAAAGATTAATTCTATATAAGCAATTCTCAATAGCATCCATCACATGAAATGAGGTAAGCATATTCAGTTCTAGGCATTTCAAGAGTTGAGAAGTTCTGTGGAAAGAAGATCTCAAAATATTAACTCCCAAAGAAGCATGGAAATGAGCCAAGCAAAGGGCAGCCCGAGCAGTAGCCCTGTGTTCTCTTTTTGCTCTGTGATGTTCACCAATACACAGGTGTCAGACGTCACCTGAAGTGACCTGGAGACCACCAGAAAAGGTTACTCCTGAGAAAATGAAACTGTGATCTATTTTTTTTTTCTCTGCAGATGTGTGTCAGGATGAATTTGTGCCCCAAAGGGAGAAATCAGAGCATCAGCACAGAAGTCATTTCCTAGAGAGACGTCAGCTTACCCCACAGAGAACCCTTCCTCCCTAACAGGCACAGTTGCTGACATCACACATCCTACCTTGCTGATTCCAAAAGGGCCTGGCAGAATCAGAAAGTTCAGGTTGCAAAAGACACCCCCCTCCCCCGCGTCCCCCACCCCCAACACACAAGAGAAGTGTTCTATAGCCTACCGCATGGAAGTATTCAGACTTGACAGTATTGAGCTACATTATTAAAAACTACCTACAAGGACTGCTCTTTTGTCTCTTGGGAAAGGAAGGAGGCATAATGCCTGAAGGAAGAAAAAACAATGTATATTATCAATACTAAAAAAAAATTGTCAAAAGGCCATTTTCCCAATATAATTTGCCCGCCCCACCAAATTTAGCTGCTATAGTGACAGATGTCATAAAATGACAGCTTCCATGTTGTCCATCTGACTTTCTCAGATCTTGGATTAAGTTAACCCCTTCTGGGTTTCTTTATATGCAAAATTAACATGTAAAGTATTTGGTTTTTGCCTGATTCAAAGGCTCTAGAACATTTAAAACTTGGCTGATTACTTTCTGTTCTGGAAGCTCAGTGTATTATGCAGTAGCATGCTAATACCCAATTGTACCTAACCTTGGTTAAGGACTAATTGATTGACTTTAGAATGACTTCAACTTTTAGTTTAAAAGTGCACAAATACAAAATATTTGTGGCCATTACTGAGAGAGTTTTGATGGATTTATTTTTGTAGAGCAGAGCCAAAAAATTTTTATTGAAAAATGAACCACTTATTAATCTAAAAATGATTTTTTCCTTTAATAAAAGAAAAATCAGCCATTCATAGGAGATTCATGCATAACTGACTATGTGTTAAATACTCTAAACAGGCTTATAATAATATATTTAGAGATTTTAGCACAATTAGAAACACATGATACCTCCCTTTTCCTTTAAGCATCTCCCATAACTCAAGTCCCAAATGAACTCACAGAAAGAGAGGAAGACAATTTGTCAGTTCTGCAATATTTGGTAATAAAGATACCTTTGGGAAACAAAGACTGTGAAGCTAACACATCAATATGTATCTTTGGAAGACAACTCTGCAATGGATTTAGCAAAACACATTAAGATTCTGGCATTGCCAGTTATAAGCAGACGTGAGTGGAAAGTGGCTTTTTTGTTTTGTCTGATCAGTGTACCTTGTAGTGGTCATCAGGCTTCCAATCTCTCCTTCCTGTTACTGTCTCCCTCTGTGCTTTTCTTGATTAAATGAAGTTGGCTACAGTCTGATGGGCTGTGTAGATTAATTCAAGATATGTGTGGAATCCACCTGGCAAACCTGATAAAAGCAGCTTCCAAGAGTGGAAATGGAACAAAGGCATGAATAATAACATGGGGGATTTGCAAAGGACAAAAATATGGGCTGCCATTTGATAGTGACAGTAATTACTTAAGTAAATGTCAAAACACTTGAAAGAAACAAGAGAAAGACAAGTCATGAATATTTAAAGCTGAAACATGCCATTCTATTGATGTGCCATTTGGAAAGAGATCTTTCCCATGTTCGCTCAGTTAGTATGTTTTGAAAGTGGTGTACAGCCTATCTGTCTTTACACTAGGCAAACTGAATTATAATTAATATAAAATCCACAGGCATTTTCATCCAATCCCTTAGTGCCTCGTTTCTCAAAGTACTATCTGTGACTAGCAGATTCTCAGACCCAAATGACCTGTCCATTGTTGAAAGTGGGGTGTTGAAGTCCCCTATCATTATTTTATTGCAGTATCACTCCCTTTAGGTCTGATAATATTTGATTTATATATCTGGGTCCCCCAGTGTTGGATGCATATATATAAAATATATATATATATTTACAACTATTATATCCTCTCTTTAAATTGATCCTTTTATCATTATATAATCACCTTCTTTATATCTTTTTACATTTTTTGACTTAAAGTCTATTTTATCTGATATACAGATGGCTACTCCTGTTCATTTTTGGTTTCTATTTTCATAGAATATCTTTTTCCTTTCCTTCATTTTCAGTTTATATTTGTTTTTAAGAGTTAGGCCGACCTCTTGTAGGCAGCATATAGTTGGGTCTTGTGTTTTAATTTATTCAGTCACTCTATGTCTTTTGGATTGGAGAATTTAACTTGTTTACATTCAAGATTATTACTGATAGGCAGCAACTTACTCTTTCCATTTTGTTTATTGTTTTCTGGTTGTTTTATAGACCCTTTGTTTCTTTGTTTCTCTCTTGTTTATCTCTGGGTTTGGGGGTTTTCCGTGGTGCTGAGCTTTGTTTTCTTTTTCTTTCTCATTTGTGCATCTGCTGTAATTTCTTTCTTTGTGGCTGCTATGGAGCTAACATAACTACACATTATCATCATAGCTATAATAGGCCATTCTAAGCTGATAGCGACTTAACTTTGGTCACATAAAAATTATCTTAACTTTTCCCTCTCCCTCACAATTTATATTTTTGTTGCCTTAATTTACTTCTTCATCTATTGTGTGTTTCTTATATATTAATTATAGCTGTTGTTGTTCTGACCATTTGGACTTCAAACCTTCGTAATAGAGGATTGAGAGATTTACATAGCACTAGCACATCACTGGAGTATTCTGAGTTTGATTTATGAATTTACCTCTACTGGTCAGTTTTATGCTTTCATCTGTTTTCATTTTATTTCCAGGTGTAGCACCCCCATAAGAATTTCCTGTAAGGCTGGTTTAGTGGTGATAAATAAAATCAGAGATGAAGAAGAAGACATTGCAACTAATACCACAGAAATACAAAGGATCACTAGAGATTTTGTGTGAACATCAGTATGCCAACAAATTTGATAATATACAAGAAATGGATTAATTCCTGGACACATGCAATCTGCTAAGATTAAATTATAAAGAAATAGAAAATCTGAATACAGCAAGTGAGAAAATTGAATCAGTAACAAAAAAAAGTATCTCATTAAAGGAAAGCCCAGGACCTGATGGGTTCATTGCTGAATTCTACCAAACATTAAAAGAAGTAACACCAATTTTCCTCAAACTATTCTAGAAAATTGAAGAGAAGGGAATACTTCCAAATTCATTTTATAAAGCCAGAATTACCCTGATTCCAAAACCAGACAAGGACAAAACAACAACAAACTACAAGCCAATATTTTTGGTGAATATAGATGCAAAAATTCTCAACAAAATGCTAGCAAACTGAATACAACAACATATTAAACAGATCACTGTGTTCAAGTGAGATTTATTCTAGGGATGAAAGTATAGTTTAATATACATGAATCAATAAATGTGAGATACCACATTAACAGAAAGAAAGACAAGAACTATATGATCATTTCAATAGATGCAGAAAAAAGCATTTGAGAAAATTCAACATCACTTCATGATTAAAAACTCTCAACAAATTAAGTATGGAAGGTATGAACCTCAGAATGATAAAGGCCACATGTTACAAACACACAGCTAACATCATACTGAATGGGGAAATACTGAAAGCTTTTTCTCTAAGATCAATAACTAGACAAGGATGCCCACTGTCACCACTTCCATTCAACGAAGCACTGGAAGTTCTAGAAGCAGTTAGGCAAGAGAAAGAAATACATGACATCCAAATTGTAAAGAAGTCAAATTGTTCATTTGCAAGTGACATAATCTTATATATAGAAAACCCTAAAGATTCCACCAAAATCTGCTAGAACTATTAAACAAATTTAGCAAAGTCGCAAGATGCAAAAGGAACATACAAAATCAGTAGTGTTTTCATATGTTAATAGTGAACTATCTGAAAAAGAAATCAAGAAAATAATTCCTTTCATAGGAGCTACAAAAAAGATACTGAGGGATAAACTTAATCAAGGAGGTGAAAGACCTCTGCACTGAAACTATAAAACTTTGATAAAAGAAATTGCAAGGGACACAAATAAATGAAAAGATATCTGGTGCTCATGGATTGGAATAACTACTATTTTTAAAATGTCCTGTTATCCAGAGTAATCTACACATCTAATGAAATCCCTGTCAAAATACCAATGACATTCTTCATAGAAATAAAAAAATTCTAAAATTCATATGTAACCACAAGGGACCTCAAATAGCCAAAGCAATCCTGAGCAAAAAGAACAAAGCTGGAGGCATCACACTACCTGACTTCAAAATATACTACAAAGCTATAGTAACCAAAACATCATGGTACTGGCATAAAAACAGACACATAGACTAATGGAAAAGAAAAGACAACCCAGAAATAAATTTACACACCTACAGAGAACTGATTTTTGGCCAAGGTGCCAAGAACACATGCTAGAGAAGACAGTCTCTTCAATAAATGGTACTGGGAAAATTGGATATTCACATGCAGAAGAAAAACCTATATCCCTACCCCTCACCATACACAAAATCTGACTTAAAATAGATTAAAGACTTAAATGGAAAACCCCAAACTATGAAACTGCTAGGAGAAAACAGGGAAAATGCATTGTGATACTGGGCTAGGGAAAGATTTTTGAAATTAGACCTCAAAAGCACAGGCAACAAAAGCAAAAATAGACAATTGGGATTACCTTAAACTAAAAAGCAACTACTTATCAAAGGAAAACATTAACGAAGAGAAGAGACAATGAGTGAAATGAGAGAAAATATTTGCAAACTACATATTTGACAAGGGTTAATATGCAAAATACATAAGGAACTTAAACAACTCAAGAGCAAAACAACAACAAGAAGTAACCTGATCTTTTTAAATGGGCAAAAGGCCTTAATAGACGTTTCTTTAAAACAGACCATACAAATATCCAACAGGTGGGATATGAAAAAATGTTCAACATCACTAATTATCAGGGAAATGCAAATCAAAACCGCAATGAGTTACCACTTCACTTCAGTTAGAGTGCTTATTATCAAAAAGACACAAAGAAAAGAAGTGTTGGCAAAAACATAGAGAAAGGGGAATCTGCACACTTTTGGTAGGAGTGTAGACTAGCATAGCCATTACGGGAAACAGTATGGAGTTTCCTCAAAAAATCAAAAATAGAACTGCCATATCCAGCAATCCCACTACTGGGTACATATCCAAAGGAAATGAAATCAATATGTCAGAGAGATATCTGCATTCCTATGTTTATTGCAGCACTACTCACAACAGCCAAGATATGGAATCAATCTAAGTGTCCAACAACAGACAACTGGATAAAGAAAATGTGGTCTGTATACAAAATGGAACACTATTCAGCCACAGGAATAAAATCCTATCATTTGCGACAACATAAATGAACCTGGAGGCCAGGCACAGAAAGACAAATATTGCATGATCTCAGTCATGTGGAATTGTTTTAAGTTGATATTATAGAAGCAGAGAGTAGAATAGTGGTTACTAGAGATTGGGGAGGGAAGGGAGGATGGGAAGATGGGGAGAAGCTGGTCAATCAGTACAAAGTTACAATTAGATAGGAGGAATAAATTCTGGTGTTCTGTTGCACAGTAGGGTGACTATGGTTAGTTGTAAAATATTGTATATTACAAAATAGCTAGAAGAGAGTAATTTGAATGTTCTCAACACAAACTCATGAGATAAATTATAAATGCATAAGGTGATGGATTCACAAAATACCTTGATTAGATCATTATACAGTATAGATATGCATCAAAACATCATATTGTACCCCATAAATACATACAATGATAGTTGTCAATTTAAAAAACAATAAATTTTTAAAAATAGAATCTCAGACCCAAACCCCAATGTACTGAATCAGAACCTGCATTTTAACAAGATCCCCAGGTGGTCTGTGTGTGTTAAATTTTGAGACACCCTGTATCAGAACATTTTTAAACAATGTTTTCAGTGATGGGATGTTCCAATATTCTGCACTTAGAATACTTTACTGGATAGTAAAAGGGCTGCTCTTGCCTCAGATAATACAACTATTAATGATTTTCTAACCTACCTGGTCTGTTCATGAATCAGTATGTGGGACCCTGAACCATCCAGTCGTGGTAACTTATAAGAAAGCTCCTGGAGAATATATAATCCCATAGAGGTTCACAGATTAGGTTTCAAGAAGAAAAGACTGTAAATTATTAGTTCATTAGGCATAAAATTCCTGCTACAAAGAATAGCCCCCAATCCCTTTATTTCCTTAAAACATTTGTGTAGTACTTTCTTTTGTGTGTGTATAGTATTTTCTCGAAGAAATTTAGACCCCAGGTACTGGTGGGGAAGGTTATCAAAATATCTGTGACCTCAAACAGGAGGCTGAATCAAATCAGTACCAAGAAAAGTGCAATGTGGTTAGAATTGTTGACTATTAGAGCTGGCAATCACTTTAGAAATAAACTAGCACACCACCACCCTATTTTTACCATGCATAAAATAAAACCCTACATGGTGAAATGACATTCTCAAGGCTTCACAAATAATTGATGATGGAGCTAGAATTACAGGCCCAGTCTTATGAATCAAATCAGTGTTATTTCTCTGCTCAACATGCATGTACGTGATATGTGTGGTGATTGAGTCATGCAAATGCAAAAAGCCTTTAGATTTTCCTGTCTCCAATGGCATCACCCAGTGCATTCAATAATGTCTTTACCTGCTCATTTGAAAACAGTTATTTTTAAATGAATTTCAAAAGCAGTGTCCAAAAATAAAAAGTGGGTGTAGCCCTTAAAAAATAGGACTGTTTCCAAAAGAGCCAGGTGCCTGTTTGAGTGGTTAATGCATAATCTTAAGCATCTGATTGAAGTTAGCATTTATAATAATTATGTGTACCAATGCAAGCTTTTTTGGAAGAAAAGAAGAGGTGGTTTGAGTAAATTACTTTCTCAACTTAAGACTTGGAAAGTCACTATGAGGCCTGTTATTTTTTTGCCTGCCAAATGGAAAAGAGAATGTAAGGAAGTTAGAAGGGCAAGCAAGTCCTCTCCCTTGAGCATACACAAGAGTGTATATACTGAATACTCAGCTGGCAGAGTGAGATGAGAAAGCCAACGTGCTGCTCCAGAAACTCAGAGGAAAGACTAACTGTAAGAAAAGGCTCATAGTGAATTGCTTTATTCAACTTCAGATGACAAACGAGTTGAATTAAGCAAGATTATAGTTAAGTTTAGTGTTAAATTTGGTACTGCTTTCCCCTAATCACCAATGAGTATTTCTTTTCTTTTCTTTCTTTCTTTGAGACAGAGTCTCACTCTGTTGCCCAGGCTGGAATGCAGTGGCATGATCTCGGCTCACTACAACCTCTGCCTCCCAGGTTCAAGCGATTCTCGTGTCTCAGCTCCCTGAGTAGCTGGGATTACAAGCGCATGCCACCACACCTAGCTAATTTTTTATTCTTAGTAGAGACAAGGTTTTGCTATGTTGGGTGGTATCAAACTCCTGACTTCAGGTGATCCACCAGCCTCAGCCTCCCAAAGTGCTGAAATTATAGGTGTGAGCCACCGTGCCTGGCCACCAATGAGTATTTCATTAGTGTGTTTTATCCCCTTAAAATATTTTATGTTTTAAATGAACACATTAAATAAGTTATGTGCTAATCTATTATGTCAGTTGTCCTCAATAAGAGTAAGTCCTAACTATGTCAACGAGGAACTGTTTTTATGCACCTAGTGGTACTTACCTAAAATATGCAAAGGAATAATTAACCCTTATATTAGATGTCTATTTTTTGTAATAATATATTAGAAGGAAACTCTATTTACTTCAGTTTGGATTGAGAGACTGAAGAACAAAACAATCCTTGGCAAAATTTCCCACATTCCAGACTTAGGAACTAGGCTACTTTTGCAGGACTTAAAAAGGAGGAATCTGAAATTCTCAGTGAGTTTTATTCTCTGAGATCTTGACCATCAGATATTGGTGTTACACTTCTGATTTGGTCTTCACAAGTTAATTTATCATTCCTGGAAATGTAATATGTAACCCAGTCAGTTTTAATCAGGTGTGTACGTCGGAATCAACTATGGAGTGATTTGGTTTGGTTGTTCTGCATAGGGAGCCAGACATCTATTTTTCTTTTGAGAAAATACCAGACTAGCTCTGAAATGAACTTCAGTAGAGAACCATCACCTTAATCCAATGGAACGAAACTCTAATTGCAGTTTTTCTGGGAATATATGAAAGAGGATGTCTTCATAGCATTTCTCAAATTATACAGTGTCATCTATTACCTTTATCAAACGGACAAGAGGTTGTGGTGGATGGTTAAATAATGGCCTGCAATGAATCACATCTTGCAGAAGTCTTGCCCTATGTAATACTCTTCCATATAGACTCTGGATTTGCCCATGTGCCTTGATTTGGCCAATAGAACACCAGCAGATATGATTCTAGCAGAGGTTTGATACGTGGTTGTGCATTGGGGTTTGCCCTCCTGGAAGCCCGAGACCCTGCTATGGAGAAGCTGCCATGAAAGACTATGTGAAGACAGAGGCCCAGCTATCCAAGCATAGCCACCAGTTGACTGCTGTCAGCTCAGGTGAGAACAACAGCCAACCCACAGAATTGTGAGGAGTAATAAGTCATTGCTGTTCAAAGCCACCTTATTTTGGGATGGTTTGTTATGCAGCAATGGATAACTGAAAACCAATGTAGGGAAATTTTTCACTACATCCTTTCCAAGAAGGAACTAACCAGCAAATAAAGAAAGATGTAAGTTTTAATATTGATCTTAGAGAAGAAACATAAGCTATCTGAACTTTGAGTAAATTTATAACTCCATGATGGATTCCCAAAGAATTAATAAACAAAAGACACACAGACACACACACACAACTCTCATTCAGGGATTTTCCTTAGTTTCAACTTTTTAGTGGCTATACAGGTCTCCAACTTCCAGCCTTTTATAAGACCATACAAAATTTCCATCTTGAATGTTTTTAGTATAAAAAGACTCCCAAATCTAATTTAACACGTGTGTGGGTGTGTGTGCAAACAACCACAGAGGTCAAGTTATTTACTAAGGCCACTTAACTAATTAACAGTAGAACTGTGTATATCTCAAGTCTGATAATTTTAAATTAAACCTTCCCTCTGACAGTCATGCTTCTTAAACTGCTATATATGTATTCTCAAAGATATTCGGGCAGAGTACAAAGGGATATGGAAAACCACAGGAAAACCATGGTATATTTTTCTAGTATGTTAATTTGACTTCATGGAATTTAATTTATAATATTATTTTAAATTAAGCTAATATAAATATATTGTGTGAATGTAGTATTCACAAAAGTTTTAATTCAAAAAATAATATGTGCTCTAGTTCTCTGAGAGCAGAATATTTTTTTGGCCACAGTTGGTACTTTGGTAGAATATTTTAGAAGCAATACATTAAGCTGATATTCCTCTGCTTTTGGTGATCTCTTATCATCAAGGAAAAGAAAAGAATGCCATGAGGGGAGACATTGGAATTGTGAGCTTTTCCTTTACAAATCACTTCTCCACGAAGCATGCATGGAGGGGAGGGAAGTGAAGACATAAAACAGTTGGATAATCTTTGAGCAACACCTTGTATCAGAATCATAAGTCACCACCTATTAAATATCGAAATTTGTACAAAGCACCTAAGAGAGATCAGTGGTTTTCACACCTAGAGATTCTGATGTAATTAGACTTGGGTGGGACATAAACATCAGTAATTTTTCAAAGCCCCCCCACCTCCGCCAAGGCTTTTTCTTACCGGAGGATACCATTTCTATGATTATGCTAGATACCGAAATTAAGAGACCTTCAATTCATTTGTTGTCTTAACTAGGGTTGGCAATATTATCCAGATTTATTTTAAAATTCTTCAAGTCTTGAGAACACACAAGGTGATAAGGGAAGACATAGTCTCTTTTTTGTTAAGAATGTCTTTGTACTAATGTCAGGTCAGATTTGAAAGTCAATAAGTTTATTTTTTATGACCTGTCTTAAATACCAGCTATATTTTGAAACTGCCCAGATTGTCAGCTTCTCAATTTTGTTTTGTATAATGCCTTCAATGTTATCTCTCTAATAAACACACATTGTATAGTGACTGCCCTTCTCACAAAAGAGAAATGGCTGTCCATTTATTAAGAATGTCCCAAACTTCTTAGTCCAAAGTTCATAAGGGTCAAACTATTCTTCAAATCAAATTCCAGTGGCCGAACATACCAGTCTTCTGTTGTTAGTTCTAAACTGTGGACCTTACTTCCACTATCCATGACTTTGCACAAATTTTCCTTATTTCCCCTCTCTTCCTTCTCATGCTTCAAAGACCTAGGCAACGCCACCATCTCCATGAAAACATCTATGACGCTAATGAGAATGAATAGTTCTGCTACCTTCCCAGTATTGATTTGCACCACAATTAGCATTTGCTGCACTACAATTTTCATTATAGGTATCTGAGTCTGCCTTTCCCACTAGAAGATAACAAGAGCAAGAAAAATAAAAAGACAATGAACAAGAATCCTTATCGGCCACTTATTTTTTGCCAATTACTAAGCTGAGTGCTTTCCATATTTCATACTTCTAATTCTCACAACAACCCTACAAGAGAAGTTCTGTCATTAACTCCATTTTACAGATGTAGAACCAAAGGCTTAGAGAGTTTAAACAACTCACATAAAGTCAAACAAACAAGGATATTGCAGCTCTAATTCAGATCTGTCTTAGATTAGGATCCAAACTTTTAGCCACTGTGTTAGCCTACTTGTAGTCAGAGACAGTATGTAATTATTTGTGTATCCATCACCATCTCACAAAGTCTAAGATAATTCTTTAGTCATAGGAACTCCAAAAGGTTTATTAAATTGCAGATTTTAAAAGAGGTAAAATTTACTCCATGGTAGCGTAAAACACAACTTTTTCTCACAGACAAACTTATCATATGTGTTTTGTGTTTCAAAATACAGTGTGTTATTCTGGTTGGCATGAGAATGGCAGATGAATAGATTTTCAGTAAAGGTATATAATGGGCACAATGAAGTCTGGTGTGGGGGCATATAGGGTCTTCGGACATACTATTAGATTGTTTTGTATAAATTCTTCCTTCCCACAGGCCATATTTAGATAGGAGTTTAGTTAAATAGGCTAAGGGACCATGTATATTTATGAAGGACAAACAGTGGGGTCATCCTCTGTTTGGAAAACTCAGTTATCCATGTTTAATGTTACCCCCATGAGTACAACAAGCTGACCCTAATTGGAATTGCTAAGATTTCCACATTGGCATTCAAAACACGCTGGGCATATATAATATCTACCATCACTCTGAGGGAATCAAACTCAGTAGAGAAAATTTACTAGATACTGGACATATTGTGGTCCCTTCTGCATGAGGAATTTGAATAGTCCATCTGTCACTTATAGTCGTGACAATGAACCATGACACCTATAAGCGCCAGATGTGCTAATTTAGGATGAGAGGTGTAATTACTACTGAATACTGCCATGAGGAGGAACAGAGGACTTTAGAACAAGTTTTAGGAGCAGAAAATTATCTGAAATCAAGCTATTTAATCTGTGTTTGTGACCAGAAATGAACCACCCAAACAGGAGCAGAATTTACTTTTATGGCTCCTTAGTACCCTACAGCTAAATTCCCCTAAAACCACAGAAGTAAATTCTCTAGGTTAGCGCTGTCCAATACAATGGCCACTAGCCACATGAGACTTGGATATTTGGAATGTGGATAGTCTGAATGGAGATGTACTGCAAGTGTAATACACCAGATTTCAAAGACCTTGTACGAAAAAATAATGTAAACTATCTCATTGTGTTTTATATTGATTACAAACTGAAATAATATTTTGACTGTATTGTGTTAAACTGTTAAAATTAATTTAGCTTGTTTCATTTTTACATTTTTTTCATGTGAGTACTAGAATATTTAAATTTTCTAAGTGGTTCACATTAGTTCACATTATATTTCTATTGAACAGCTATGGTCTAGATAAAAGGATCTGACTGCAGCATCATATTGCTTAGGTTTTAATCATGGCTTCCTCACATACTGGCTGTGTATCCTTGGGAAAATTACTGACCTTCTCTGTGCCTCAAGTTTCCTCATCTTAAATGGCAATAATAATAATAATACTTCTTAAGGTTTCTAGGAGGATGAAATAAAATTATGCATATGAAGTGCTCCACTTTTGGCTCAGGGTGAAAGCTAAATAAAGGTTAGGAAGTTTTAAGCTTTCAAGAGTAGCTTAGACACTGATTTTCCTTCTGTTCAGAACCCTTTAGCAGTTTCCCTTTGTCCACAAGACTCTAAGCACTTCAGCGTGGCTAAAAAGAGGTATCTACAGAAGCTGACCCCAGCCCAGCTCTCCAGCCTCACATTCTACTATGACTCACCTTGAAATTAAGCTCCTGCATTCCACTGTAGCATCCTCAACACAGCATGTTCTCGTTGCTTGTGCAGTTTTGATCTTGTTAGTTCTTCCTCACAGATCTTTTCTTGATCTCTTTCTCTGCCTGCAAAACTCCTAACATCTGGGGAGGAGTCACTTCCTTTGCAAAGCTTCTCCTGGTTCACACTCTCATGTAGCAGCCTTGAAGAGGTACACATTATTCAAATGTAACTTATACAATGTCTGTTATTGTAAATGTCAAACTGTATCATAGACATTCACCAATCTCCCTCATTCCATTGTGATTTTCTTGAGGGTAATAACCACAATTTTCTTTTGTGTGTGCCCAGCACCTAGCACAGTTCTTGGCACACAATAAATGTTCAGTAGAGATTTGCTGAACTCATAACACAATCTTGAGCTGATCTTTTGGTGCAGAGGGTAATTCTCTGCTGGCATGGTTTTATGGATTCCTGAATTTCCCTCTCCCTAACATATCTCATTTTGCTCTCCACATTTCCCAGCTACCATGCTCTTTGTGACTAACCCTAACCAATGCAACTTGAATAGGAATGTTGTTCACCTCTAGTCCCAGGAAATTAAGAACAGGTTACCTGTTCAATCCTCTTTCACTCTTAGGTCGACACATTTAGAAGCAAAGAACTTCAAGATGCCAGACTGCAAAATAAAAGTCACTAATTTCTGAGTCAGCAGTTGGGAGAAAGGCAGGCAGAAGATGCCTCCTAGCCCACATTAGATTGTGCCCTGCATGAGGTGTTTGCCGATGCTATGGCAGACCACTGAAATTTGGAGGTTTGTTACTATAGCAGAGCTTTGCATATCCTCACTAATAAACCCACTATGGTAAATATAATTAGAAAACATTTTCCCCATGACATTCTTTTAATTGCAAATGCTCCTGAGAAGAGGAATAACACATGAAACGAATCCGCTCTGATCACAGATTTTTCTCCTTCTCAGATAAATCCAATTAACAGAAGATGTCTTAGAATTTAAGGGGGGGCAGAAAGAGAATCTCTGTGGGTAGAGGGTTGGGGAAAAAGCATGGGATGGTAGTTTTGGTATGTAGGACACCAGAGACAGTCCTCACCTAATTCAATGGCTTAAAATTATACCAAAGGAAAACAACTCATAACCCAAAAGGAATTAGGATGCACACACCAGGCTTACTCAGACATGTGGTGCTGCCTCCTATTTTACTTTATGGTAGATAAAGTTGAGCAGTTGTATAAATAGAAATGACTGGAGCCTTTACGTCTAATAGCAGAACTCATTTTTTATTTCTTTTTTGGCCTCTTGATAAAACTAAAGGATAAAGCCTTTTTTAGAAAGCTTTTATTTTGGATCTGTTAGGCTGTTCTACTCTAAAATGTCATCAATATTCTTTAAGGTATCAAAACTAATTTTAGCAAAAAGCCCCAGGAGTTGACTGTTGCTAGTCTGATAATGGATATCAATTTTTCAAACTGAAAGTAACTAAGAGCCTGTAAAAAAAAACCCATAAACCAACCAGACTTTCCTCCTTAAACAATGGGCTCTGTGCTTTTATCACTCACAGTTGTATCTCTTGTTATAAGCTACAAGGGCTATATCTGAACCATGGCAATGATATAATCCCTTTCATCTGGGACTTCTCACACGCCCCAGTTCATTTGATCCTCTGGCCAGAGGAGGCTATAACAAAACCAAATCAAGGTTCAGATTTTGAATCCAACAAGCTATATTGACATATGTTTATGTACATGTGCATTTACTGGCTGTCTTTATTTTCTATGTCTTTCTATTTTATGCAAACTATTTTCCCAACATAGTTGTGTAGTTAACAAATTTGGCCTTGCCCAAAGACAAGGTCTGATCTTTGTCTTGTTTCTGGGAGGTAATCTCTGGGTGCTTGTAATATTACACCTGATAGGAGTGTCTTTGTTTTCCTGTCACCTTGAATCATACTGCAACAACCTTGAATCAACCTGAGACAACTAACTTGTAGGATATTGCAAGTCACTGAACTTCTCTGTGCCTCAGTTTCATCATCTATTAGACTATCATACTGGATAGTTTAATAAAGTGATTTAGAGTGGGGTCTGGCCACACCTGTATAGTGTTAAGGTGGAGGCTAGCCATCCCAGAAAGACCAACAATGTTAATTAAGTTGTGGGCTTTGGGTCATGTGGTATCAATTGACCTGGAGACCAAGATCAACCATGTGGGTAATCGCCCAATCAACCATGCCTGCAAAATAGAGCCCCAGTAAAAACCACCCGCGACCCGGAGACTGGACACTGAAACTTGGGTGAGCTTCCCTGGCTGGCAATACTCTGTGCATATTGATACCTGGAGAGTAACATGTCCTAACTCCATGGGGAGAGGACAATGGAAGCTTTATGTTTCGAACACTCCTGAACTCTGCCCTCTGCACTTCTTCGCTTGGCTGATTTTAATGTGAATTCTTTCTCTTTGGCAAACCATAACCGTGAGTATAATAGCTTTCAGTGAGTTCCGTGAGTTCTGCTAGTGAATTATCAAAACTAGATAGTGGTCTTGGGGAACTTCCAGAACTTGCAGTTGGTGTCAGAAGTAACTTCAGGCCAGGCATGGTGGCTCACACCTGTAATCCCAGCACTTTGGGAGGCTGAGGCAGGTGGATCACTTGAGGTCAGGAATTCGAGACCAGCCTGGCCAACATGGTGAAACCCCATCTCTACTAAAAATATGAAAATTAGCCATGCATGGTGGCACACGCTAGTAATTCCAGCTACTTGGGAGGCTGAGGTGGGAGAATCGCTTGAACCTGGAAGGCAGATGTTGCAGTGAGCCAAGATTGTGCCACTGCACTCCAGCCTGGGCAACAGAGCGAGATTCCATCTCAAAGAAAAAAAAAAGGAAATTTTATAGTTTTTCCCAAAACCTGACAGTGGTAAAATATAATTGGCAAAGGATTCGGAGGCAGATAATCCAGGTTTAAAGTCAGGTTCTGTGACTTGCCAGTTGTGTGAATACGCAAAATTTATTTATTCTCTTTGTTCCTCAATGTCATCATTTATGAAACAATAATGTCTATATACAAAAGGACTACTGCAAAAATTAAGTGAGATCATGCATATGAAATGTTTAAAAATTATAAAATTTTATATAAATGTTAATTATGCAAATGTGTCCTTTTTTGCCTCTGAAATTATTCCATGTGAAACCATGCTCTCTAGATTCTTAATTTGTCACTATATCAAAACTATTTTTTCTTAAACATAAACTGTTTTCAAATTATTAGTGTTACTGGCAATATCTTTACTCTCATATCTTATTTCAAATTTGTAATATACTTATAATAAAATAATACTAATCATATATTGCAATGATAGGGCACAGAACCCCAGCTATGATGAGATGAATAATCCAGTAAAATTGGGTATTCAGATTACAGACATTAGAGGGAAACCACAAAGCTGTTAATAACATCTTAAACGTGTGTAGTTCTCTCTAGATTTAAAGCTTTTCAAATATACATTTTTTCCTATCCCAATAATTTGCTGAAATTGCCAGAAATGTACTATTACCTCATTTTGTAGCAATCTGAAACTGAAAGGGAGTACATGGACCAATGTTTCAGTTATTAATTAAACAAATATTTGTTTGGCAATAACTGTTATTAATGCACTATTGCAGGAGATAAGCAGACAAAATCTTTGCTCTCATTAAGCTTACATTTTAGGGATTCGGACTTTGTAAGTTTGCCATGTAGCTAAACATCATAGAAGTGTCAGAGACAGATTTGAATGTGGCTTTTCTGAAAACCAGTTTGGTGCATTTTCTTTCCTATCATTAAGCTTTAACATATAGTTAAAATAGAGTTGATCTCCCACGTGTTGGTCAGACCATACCTTTCATTTTTGATTTAACTTACAAAATGTAAAACGGTCTTTTAGGGTCATTTCTGACAAGAAACAAGTACAAAAAAGATTGGATATATTCATAAAACCCATCGTATAGTAAATTTTTAAAAATATAACTTTTTAAACTAAGGAAAACCCCTATTGAATTGTTTTTGGTCCTAAATTAGCAGATATATATACAACCTTCCAAAGTTAGAAGTTTTTTAGAAAAAAAGAAAAATAAATGTGGAGTTATTGCTCATTTGAAACTAAATTAGGAATTTGGGAATTTGTGGTAATAAACAATTCATCTGTCACACGGCATCCTGCAAGGCTTTGTGGAGATATAAAAGTAATTAAGAAAATTATGGATTCTGATGTTAATAACATTATAGTCTAGCCAAAGATGTATATTTTTCCAAATTATACATTCTTTTTAATTTTCTAAAATGCATTTAGTCTTTAGGTCTTCAGCCAAATACATACGTATCCAAGTAATTAAAGTACAAATTCACCCATTCAACAATTATTTATGGAGCATCTATTATGTGCCAGAAATGGTGCTGGGTACTAGGAATACAACAGTGTGTGAATCAGGAGCAGCCTCTACCTTCTTGAGTTCCATAGTGTAAAATAGTAAGACAGAAAATGCCCTCCAAATGGAAGAAGAGTGCAGGAGTGAGCAGGTGAATGGGTTGAGGGTTGAGAGGAGATGGGTGTGGGGACGTGGGTGTGAGGAGAAAGCAGTAAGTGTGAGGTCATAGAGGCACTAGTGCATTCAAGACAGCTCAGAAGGGCTAAGCATAAAAGGCAAAGGGGAAATGTGAAGCAGAACAGGAAGGCTGTAGCCAGATCACGGAAGGCTTCATGAGTTGAGTTAAGGCATCTGACCTTTGTCATAAGGGATTTAGGAACCATAAAAGGGTTTTAAAGAATGAGTGCCGTGACCATATTTGTGATTATGTAACTAGAGAATGAACTGTATTGGAGGGAATCAAAACTCCAGGGAGCGGACCAGTTAGGAGGCCACGACAGGCCCCATTCACAAAAAAAAAAAAAAAAAAAAGAAAGAAAGAAAGAAAGAAAAAATATCATCTCCTGAACCAGGATAGTCGGGTGCATGGAGAGAAGATAAACTTGAGAGACATATAAGCAGAAAACTACACAGAATTTGAAAATCAATTGAATGAAAAGTTGAAAAGCGTGGCCATTTCAGTTGGGTAGATGGTGGTTCCTTTACAGAAATATGAAACACTGGAAGAGAAATGTGTGGTGTGTGTGTGTGTGTGTGTGTGTCTAAATTTGATGACTTAATTGTGGACTTAAATTTGAGACATCCACGGAGAGAGAGAGATGATGAAATGACCAATGGGAATATGCTAACTTGTAGCTCACATGAAATGCATTAAATTGTTTTCAAACTACACAAAGAAAGTACTGTATCTAGTAAACAAACTAAAGTGTTCCATATTCCTTCATCACTTGGGTTATTTGTTCCCCACCTTCTTCCTGTTCTGATAATTGATACAAATAATTAATCAAAATTAATAGGCAGTAGGAATATTCTCTTGGATGTGTATTTATTATTTTCCTTTCGTGAGTGTCAATGTGGATTTAATGTCTTCCACAGGCTCAACTGGTCCCAACTTAGTGTTGCCTACTTTTTGATGTTTAATTTATCACAATCCGGCTGAGAGGAAACATTTTAAGGGCCATTATCTCCAGAAATTTAAAAATATATCCTTGCTTTTCCACAAGAGGAAATTCCAGGTTCATTCTGAGTTCTCTTTCCCCATAGAAATCAACATCTGGGTACCAGAGATAGCACATTGTATTATTTCACAAGAGAACTCAAAGCAGAGCGAGGTAACATAGGAACTTCAAACCACTGACATGGGGCAGAAAAAGTACCTTTTCTCCAAAGTCCAAGTATTCAGGTTTCTTTTTTACTTTGCTCTAATATGTTTATTAATCTATTTTAAGTATTCCTTCCAGTACCTTCTGGTGTATCGTGCCATATTTTGTCACAACAAACAATGCTCTCAATTTATATTATTGCTCCGTTTTTAGAAGTCTATTTTTTCTTCCTCTTGCTCAAGCATCATGGAATTGGCAGCAACGTATTAAAGTTTAGATCAAGGGTAAGCAAACCACTGCCTATTAGCAAAATCCAGCCAATTCTCTGATTTTTAAATACAATTTTATTGGAACACAAACATGTGTATTTGTTTGTATACTGTCTATTGCTGCTTTGGTAGTATAATGCCAGAGTGGTTGTGATAGAGGCTGCATGACCTACAAAGCCTAAAATGTTTACTGTCTGGCCCTTTACAGAAAAAACAAAATGCCATTCTTTGATCGGAATGATCTCCCTTGTCTGTACCTGTCAATAACCACTTGTCTGAAAGAGAAAAGGAAATCCCAACATTCTTCCAAGGGAACAACACCAAGGAATACAGAGACACAGGCTACCCAATATTTCAGCAAGATTCCCATAAACCTGCCAGCAATGTCAAGGAATGGGACAATACAGATAATTGTAAACTTTGAAGGGTTTCTCCCAAAGCTCTTTTTTAACTTTTTATTGTTATGAGTCCTAGCATCATAACTTATTATTTATCACGGGCATCTTAATGTTAAACTGCAACTTTTTAAAGGCATATGTATATATATATATATATATATATATATACACACACACACACACACACACACATACATCTAAATAAAATACTATTACATATTATATATATTATTACTATTAATAGAATCAATCATATATATGATGGATTCTATTCCAGTTCTTCATCTGCAACCTCCCTTGTGTCCATGTCTTTTACCATATGACTTTGCAGTTTCTCTCACTAAAGAGACTGTATTTTCCCATCTCTTTTATCTGTGTTGACTGCAACATGCTCCAGCCAGTAGAATGCGGTGAAGGTGATGGCATGCTACTTCTGCGGTTCTGCAGAGGCCTTTTACTTTTCTGCTCTTTCCCTTGTATTGCTTCCTCTGCCATAAAATATACTCAGGAAGATAAAAGACACATGTAAGATATTTGAGTTGCCCCACTTACCCAAGCCACACTCAGCCAAGATCAACCAAGAGTGAGCAATATCCACACGTTAATAAGCTCAGCCAAGAACAGCAGAGACGCCTCAACCAACCACTCGAGATGTGTGAACAATAAACACTTGATGTTTTATGCTACTGAAGGGTTTGTTTGTCATAAAGCATTATTGTGGCAATGAAGAGCTGACACAAAATATATTTAAATGACTTAGTCCTGTGCCAGTCTATCTTTTCAAAAACTAAGAATGTTAGAAAATATAACCAAATTGATACTAAGAAATCTGAGACACTTATAAAACTTAACCTCAAGAGCTCAAATAAATATCTATGAATTGTTTGACTTCCACAAGGGCCAAATCAGAAGATACTAGCACATTTGGATTATAACACATTTCATTTGCAATTCTGTAATCACATTATATTTGCATATCCTAAAATCCCCGTACAAGTAATTCTCCAACATTTTTGGCCCTATCCCAGAAGTTTTAATCTCTACATAAAACAGATATTAATAATTTATTAATATGATAATAACAACAGTAGCTATAGAATATTTTGATGCAGTTATCCAACATTTTGCAAGGATTTAGCCTCTCTAATGTTTAATTCTGTGTAGATGTACAACTACTACAGACAGGAAATAATCAGTCACTTTCTTCTTATATAACTTGGTAAACAGGGCATAATAAGATTCTCAAATGTTAGATATAGCTTTGGCCAAACCTAAATGGGGCCTATTGCATGTTGGGATTCCACCTGGAACTAGAAAGGGCTAGGAGCAAGTAATTTATTTTTTAACAACTTGGTAGTTCCTGTGGTCCAAACCTTATACTCCCTAATAATTTATTGGTTTGGATTCTACTTGCTTGTAGTTCAGTTGAGATTCTCATCCTATGTTTAATTAGCATCTACATTCAGGTAGAGGCAACACCAATACTTGAGAGCCACATAGTTTCACTTATGGATGCCCTGTGATATTATTTCTGCTAATGGCTGCTGCTCTGCTAAAGGCAGGTGTCCCCATCTTCAATCTATCTTGCAGAAGGGCTTAATCTATCTTCCCTTTGTAGGATCCAACTTGATCAAAAATGTCTTATTTGAGCTACCTTTCCCCCTGCTTGTCCTTCCTTCTCTCTCTCAGGATGTTTTTTAATTTACGAAAGAAGCTAGAGGATTTCTTTTTCTTTCTATTTTAAAATAAAATCTCATTTAGCTAACCTTCTCTTGGGGGAACTTCCCAATTTTGAATCACTTTCATTGAAAGAGTAGGGGAGTGGAAGGAAGCCCTTGCCCACCCTCCATACAACTTCTTAGAGTTTCAAGTCAAATTCTACAGGCTCCAGACTGGAAAAAGCAGTTGGTCTTTTTCCAAGGTTTGAGATGATCTGGGCTTCGTGCCAATGTCTCCTTCTTTATCTTAGTTGGCTCTGTCCCTAGCTCATCTTTTCCCAAAGTTGTGTCTGCAAATATCAGTTATTTAACACTTTAGTTTCATTGTCTTGAGACAATTTTAAATCAGTATGCTTAGCAACCATGGCCCACTCTGGACATAATCATGAATATATTTTGCAACTTCTTAGACATTCTTAGTACTGTATTTCGCTGGGTTCATGCCCATCTCTTAAGCATAACTTTCAAAAAGAAATTAAGTTTTCTTAAATGGAAGTTTCATATGTCAATTAAATATTTTTATTTTCCTCCTAGAATGTGTCTAGTTCACATGGAAAATTATTTCTGAGACCCAAACTTCTGTATGCCATTAAAACTGTTTTTGGGATGCCCAAATCAAAGAGCTCCATGTTCATAGCACTTTTTCAGAAGAGGAGTTAAAATAAAGAAAACATAGATTAGTTTCTATACATAATAAATTTAATATAGCTTAAAATAATCACAAGACTTCCCTTTTTTCCCCTTTGAGAGCTGCGTCCCTGGGTTAGTGAGAATAAGCAAATCTCGGCTCTTTCTTTCCTTCTCACACTTAAACCTAATTTTGCCTAATAAATAGCCTTTCATCCGTCTGTAGAACACTTGGTTGAGACGTACTTTCCTTATTTCAGATGCTGCCATTCCTGATGGATCTATCCTAGCATACTGTCATGGTTTCAGTGTCAGTTGAAGACCTTGGCTACAGCCAATGAAAGAAACCAAGAAATTGTAATTTGGTAAAATTTGGGATTGTAATTCATGTTCAGTCCACAGTGACAAGAAACTCAGAGTTAAGAGAGGGGTAATCCTTCTCTCTTGGAATAATTCCTTTTTTATTACCCACTACAGAGGTATTCATTCTGATGTGAAGGATGGTCAATCCATCAACCGGTTCTTTTGGTATCAGTATGACTTGCTGCAATATCTTTGCCTAATAACTTTGATCATTAGGATCTGAGGCCTTTATATCAATTCTACTTCTGACACTGATTGATATTAATGTTATAATGGGGCTATAATATGAACTATGGAAAGACACCAACAAATCCAGTTAAATGATACAAATTTTATTTTGTAGAAAACGATATGAAGATATAGCTCTTTAGAAATAACTATACAAATCAAGAGATAGTACGAGAAACTCCCAGATATGGGAATAAGATTCCCTCCTTCCCAAAAATTCCTCCAAGGAAACAGAGCTTATTTACATTTAAAGACCTAGACCTAAGGGGTGATCTCACAGTAAACATTGAAAAATGAACAGGAATCCTTTGGTCCAAATTGCTTGCTCTTGAACATGATATGGTACAAGATCATCCAGGTATATCATTTAGAATGAAAATAAATAAGGCCTAGGCCAGAGTTAGAAGGAACATCAACACAAAGGGATGAATGGAAGAAAAGAAGTATAGAGAGGAGACTGAGAAGGACTCAACTGGCAGAACAAGAAGCAAGAACATGTGGGGTCACCGGGCTCAAGAGAAAATAAATTTTTGAGAAAAAGTAATCAACTGAGTCAAATATAACCAAAAGGTCAAGTAAAATAAAAGGACTGAAAATAATTCACCAGACTAATGGCATGGAGATTATTAGTACAGACAGAGTGATGCAGTTCACCAGAGTGATGAAAAAAGGAACCTAATTGAATAGTCAGAAGACTGAGGGAAAGGCAAGGAAATGAAACACTGGGAACCACATGTCTTTTAAAATCTTGCCTGGGAAGGGGTTGGAGAGATAGGACCCTGGCTGCACAAATGCTTGAAGTCAAGGACAGATATCCTTAAGATGGAAGAGACTTCAGCTATTTGAATTCTCATAAGAAATAAGCAATGGAGATAAAAAGAATGAGGACAGCGAGAGAAAGAATAAAAATCAGATGAAGACATTTGAGCAGAAATAGGGGTATTGGTCATCAATTGTAGGGGCATTTATTTCATTACAATAGAATGGACAGTTTGTAGGATATGTGGCTGGAGGTTGGAGTTTCATCTGAAGGTTTCAGTTTTGCATAAGAAATAGTATGTGTGAACATTTGTTGAAAGTGAGGGAGAAGGGGTAGGATTTGATGGCTTGAGAAGAAAGGAGGATTAAAATAATGAACAGCTGACTGGGTAATTATATGAGAATTGATCCTCAGATAGGCTAGCTCTGTAGGTGTTAGTAATCTAGCAGGATCAGTAGTCCCCAATCTGCACCACTGATTTTTTTTTTTTTTAATAGCTTTCAGGCTTCTGGGAGCTGATAAGGTGGATAGTAGAAACCATCATGAGCATGAGGGAGAAGGACAATGGGGGAAGACAGTGAAGAAATAAACGATTGAAATAAAGCTAGAGAGAGTAAGAGGTGATATGAGATAGACTTAAAGGAAGAATATAGAATTTTAAAAATCAAGATCAAGGAAATAAAGTTGTCATCACACTCACAATAGGAATTAATATAGGTGTGATGTTTTAGCATTGAATTTGGATATAATATTTCTAAAAGCCTAGGAAAAATGATATTAAATTATAAGACTCATTTCAAAAAGTAACATTCATACATGTTTTATCAAAAGAAAAATATGCTTAGCAAAATGAGAGAGGCTCTTACTCTTAACAATAGCTTCCTTATGCTGCCTATGTCTTCCTACTAAGGTGTTAGAGGTCATTGCTATTGGGACATTTGTTCTCACTCATAGGTGGGAATTAAACAATGAGAACACTTGGATACAGGAAGGGGAACATCACACACCGGGGCCTGTTGTGGGGAGGGGGGGGAGGGGGGAGGGATAGCATTAGGAGATATACCTAATGTAAATGACAAGTTAATGGGTGCAGCACACCAACATGGCACATGTATACATATGTAACAAACCTGCACGTTGTGCACATGTACCCTAGAACTTAAAGTATAATAATAATAAAAAAGGAACATTGTCACTCTGTGACAATGGCCATGTGCTAAAAGATGGAGAAAATGATAAAGAACAGTATGATGCCTAAATGGGAGAAATCCAAGTCTAACTAATATTACAATGATGAGATTTGGGCATCCTGCTTTTCTTCTACTTCCATTTAAAACCATTAAAATATGTCCTAAAGATGGATTCTGCAATATAACTTTTTTAAACTTTGTGGAGATATTTTCTTACTATACAATTCACTCATTTAAAATATACAATTCAATATTTGCAGGGTTGTGCAATCACCATCACAATATAATTTTAGACTATTTTATTACCCCAGAAAGAAACCCTGTACACATTAACAGTCACTCTTGTTTCCTCCCAACACCCCCAGCCCTGGGCAACCAGTAACCTGTCTGCATCTATGGATTAGCCAATTCTGGACATTTCATGTAAGTGGAATCACATAATATGTGGTCTTTTGTGATTGGATTCCTTCACTTAGCATAATGTTTCCAAGGTTCATGCAAGTTGTAGCATGTATCAGTTATTTATTTTTATTGCTGGGTAATATTTCATTATATATACAAATACACCACATTTTATTTATCTTTTTATCAGTTGATGGACAACTGGGTTGTTTCCATTTTTGACTATTATAAATAATGTGATTATAAACATTTGTGTACAAGTTTGTATGTGGACATATGTTTTCATTTCTTGTGGGTATATACCTAAGAGTGGAATTGCTGAATCATATGGAAACTCTATATTTATCATTTTGAAAAACTGCCAAATTGTTTTCCAAAGTGGCTGCACCATTTTACACTCCCACCAGCAATGTATGAAAATTCCAATTTCTTTACATCCTGGCAATACTTGTTATTTTTCTCTTGTGGCTTAATAGATATGAAAATAATATTTCATTGTGGTTTTGATTCCACAATACAGTTTTAATGTTCTTATGGGTTAAAATCTAGAATGAAGGGCACTGGAATGGATGCAGAAATATAATACATAGAACCTCTTTAACTTTGTGTGATCATTAGTGCATCTCACTTTTGGCTCTTCTCCCTTCTGCATCCTAAGTTAGATTGCATTTCCTGAATGGCTTGTGGTTAGATAGGGCCAAGTGACTACCTCTGGCCAATGTGTCATGAATGGAAGCAATGTTGTCATTTCTATGCCAAAGCATTTAATTGCTAGTACAAGACCCTCCAGAGCTCTCTTTTTAAAATTATATTTTAAGTTCTAGGGTACATGTGCACAACATGCAGGTTTGTTACATATGTATACATGTGCCAACCAACAACTTTCAAAATAGTGGTAGCTTTGATAGCCTGGGTCATGGGATGAAGGGACATTTAGCAGAAATGACCTGTAATATATATGCTGTGTGAGTGAGAAACAAACATTTGCTGTTAAGAGATGGTGGTGGTTTGTTACTGCAGCATAACTGGGCATAACCTGAGTAATAAAATGATCTTACTATGATTTGTGTGCTACTTGATGCTTAGATATTAGATTTCAACAGACCTGACAAATAACTTTGCATCTCTAAGCCTCAGCTGCCTCTTCTATTATATGGGTGTCATAAATCTACCTTACACAATTGCTTGAAGTTAAGCAAGACACTAGATTATTCTATAATGCTTAGTGCAGTGTGTGGTACCTAACAGGTTCTTAAGAAATGATGGTGTTTTTACAGACAGGCAAGGAGTTGAGGACTATAATATTGGAGTTAACTTTATGCAGAAGGTGATAAGCCAGTCTTTGAAGGACCAAGCCATAGAAGCAGGGAGGCAGGGAGACGGGTCATGGATTTTCTTTGGGTAGTTAGTTTGGGCCTTGCAGCAAGCCTCCTTAGCAAACATTTCTGTTGGTGTATATCTGCATGCCATTATCACAGGGTGGGAAGACCTTCTCTGGGGTCCTTTTTGTATAAATTTTAAAGGTACAAGTGCAGTTTTGTTATGGGTATGTTGCATAGTGCTGAAGTCTGGGTTTTTAGTGTAACCATGACCCAAATAATGTACATTTTATCCATTATGTAATTTCTAATTTCACAGCTCCTCCCACCCTCCCAACCTTCAGAGACTTCAATGTCTATTATTCCACACTCTATGATTCTTTTGGGTCTTGATTTTTCTTCCCAGAAGAGAAGAAATGGTCACAGTATTCTGACTCATTTCACAGAACAAGGAGCACAGAATATGAAAAGTGATTACATTTAAAATATGCTGAAAAGTGGTTTCATAAATCCAAAATTAACTAATCACTCTTCAGAATGGCAGGCAGGGATGAGGGATGACAAAACACGTTTCTTCGAGAGCATATAGAATCAATATAAAATATATTTTTCCTTTATGTGCATACCTTCCTTGAGACTTAATGAAGGAGGGACCTAGTTTAGCCTAGCAAAAGACACTCAACAGAATTAGTTAACACCATGCAAATATTTCTATTCATGGTGAGGGGAAGGGAATTCAACAAACTAGAACAGTCATAACAATACATTGGGCACTGGTGGCCATGTATTTCCTTTTCCTTGGTTCCATCTTTCCTACTTTCCTCTCTTCTTAGATGCTTGACTGTTCCTCCTTGTTCTTTAGCTGACTTGCTTTCCTTCTCTGTCTGTCCTTTAAAGATTGATATTCTACAGGCGAACCATCAGCCTTATTCTCTCCGCATCCTACGAACCCTCCCTCAAAGTTTCTCATTCTCTGCCATAGTTTTACTTCTTCATCTGAGACCTTGTTTCTAGGTGCACATTTCCATCTGCCTATTGGAAACTTCTACCCGGATGTCTTACAATATTTACCATGTCTTCTTCATTCTATCTGAAATGTTTTTCTTTCATCTTCGCCAGTGTACTTTCTTCAGATCTCTTAAGCTTTACTTCTTCAATATAGTGTTTCTTGAGACTCAGACTATATTAGGTCTACCTTGGTGCACTATCCAAACTCCTATTATTTTACCTTAAGCAATTCAGAGCCCATTGTTTTATATTTTATATTTATGAGATTATTTTATTTTCTCTCTTCCATGCTAAACTTTTTACTCCACGAAGGCTAGCACAGTATCTGTCTTGATCTCTATATTCCCAGTGGACAGTCAGTAAAAATGTGTTGAATAAATAAATGGATCATACAAGCTAAACTAATAATACTACCCACCTCTCCTATTTCTATTCCTGGGCATGACTGATGTGCTCCCAGATCACCCCATTATCTCCACTAAAATCTAGGAGCCTTCCTATATACTACCACATGCCTCATTTCTAATATCTAAACACTCACCAACATCTAGTATTCCTCTTAAATGTTTTGAGAATCTACTCCCTCTTCTCTCTGTCCCTACTATTCCTACTTTGTTTGGGTTCTTGTCCTTTTTTCTGAATTTTTCATCTTCTTCTAATCCTTTGCCATCACTGCAGGGCATTTTCTTAAAATGCAAATATGACCATTTTGTTCTGCTGCATAAAACCCTTCAACAAGAACCCTATTGCTTTAAAGATGAAGCTCGGATTCTTAAGCCTGATCTACTAAGCACTCCATAATCTGACAATCTAAACTCAGCCTTCCTTCTTCTCATTACCTCTTTTCATTGTCCCTGCCACTCCCAACCCCCATTCCCCCTTGGTCATTCAGAACTCATGGTTGCCAAATCCACCTTCTTGCCTTTGCACAGATTCTCCTTGCCCAGAATAATTTTTTTTTAAATTTTTAGCAGAGGTTCTCTACCTACCCAACTCTTCACCCTTCAAAACAAAGCTTTAAGGCCACCTCCTCTGAGAAATCTTTCCAAACTCTCCTAGAAAAAAATCTATTATACTCTCCTTTATACTCACATGGCACTCTACAAGAGCCTTAATTATAGCCTCTGATATAGTTTGGCTGTTTCCCAACCCAAATCTCATCTTGAACTGCAGTTCCCATAATCCCCACGTGTTGTGGGAGGGACCAAATGGGAGGTAGTTGAATCATGGGGTTGGTTACCCTCATGCTGTTCTCGAGATACTGGAGTGGGTTTTCACAAGATCTCATGGTTTTATAAGGGGCTTTTCCCCCTTTGCTTGGCACTTCTCTCTCCTGCTGCCTTGTGAAGAAGGACGTGTTTGCTTCTCCTTCTGCCATGACTGTGAGTTTCCTGAGGTCTTCCCAGCTACATGGAACTGTGAGTCAAACCTCTTTCCTTTATAAATTACCCAGTCTTGGGTATTTCTTCATAGCACTGTGAGAAGGAACTAATACAGCCTCCAAAGTCTTCAGTGATTATGTTTTATTGTACTGACCCCTTCATTGGCCTGTCAGCTCCTATAAACAGAGTCTAGTTCTTATTCACCTCCAGATCTACTGAAATTTTTGCTGTATATTTACAAATAATTTCTCCAATAAAATACCTTTACCCAGAATATATAAAGAACTCCCAAACTCAGTAAGAGGTAAACATAAATCCCAATATAAAATGGGCAAAAGATTGAACAGACTCTTCATCAAAGAAGATATACAGGTAACAACTAAGCAATAAACAGATGCTCAATATCATTGATCATCAAGGACACAAAAATTAAAACCACACTGAAATACTACCATGCACTTATTCAAAGATCTAAAGTAACAAAGACTGAACATACCAAGTATTGGCAAGGATGTGAATGGAGAGCAATTTCACAATTTCTTAACAAGTTAAACAGAAACCTACCATATGATCTGGCCATTCTACTCCTACATATTTATCCAATAAAAAAAATACATGTCTATACAAAGACTATCATGGGACTTTTATTTGTGATAGCCCAAAATTGACATAAACCAAAATGTTTTTCATTGGTTCATAAATAAACTATGATATACTCATAAAAGGGACTCAGCAATAAAACACTAAACACATAACACCATGGATAAATCTCAAAACAAGTATGTTGAGTGAAAGAAGTCAGTCAAAATTAGTACATACTGTTGGGAGGGGGAGCAAGATGGTGGAATAGAAACCTCCATCAGTTGTCCTCCCTGCAGGAACGCTAAGTGTAACAACTATCTACACAAGAAAGCACCTTCAGAAGAACCAAAAATCAGGTGAGCAATCACAGTACCCGATTTTAACTTCACATCACTGAGCTGGTATTTATGTTGCAAGACCAAGTCCTCTTTACTCTTCCCTCTCCTCTTCTCTCCTCAGGTGGAAGGAGAAGGTCACTTTTGGAGCTGTGAGCTGCACTGCCTGAGGTTGAGGTGTGATGCAAGCATTCCCTTAGCCACCCAGGCTGGTGACTCAGTAGTTTGTGTGCTCCCCAAGTCCACTGGCTTGAGCCCAGCACAGCACTAGGGCTTGTCTAGGAATGGCAGTCCTTGTGGCTTAGATAGCCTTTCAAGTTTTTTTAGAACCCCAGAGCATTTTAGCCCACAGTGGCAAGGCTTACTGAAACTGAAGTTCCAACTGCTGGGATGGGCAATTCCCCTCTGGCTAGGGCTGGTATAAATGATCCCTCCAAGGGTGCATTAATCACATTATCTAATGGCCCCTTGCTACTCAAAATGTGGTCCCCAGACCAGCAGCATTGTCACCACCTGAGAGCTTGTTAGAAATGCAGAACCTTTGGCCCCACCCCAGACTTCTTAAATCAGAATCTGTATTTTAACAAGATGCCCAAGTAGTTTGTATGCACATTCAATTCAAGAAGTGCTTGTCTCACTGTCTTATATCCTGTATAAGATAATGATTATTATTCCTATTACTCATTTGAGAAAATGAGAATAGGCAAGTAAAATTACTTGAAAATAATCAGTATCTAAAAAGTACCAGAGTTGAAATTTTAAGGTAGTTCCCGCAATTCTAAATGTCAAACATTTCTTTCCACCATGCTTTTCTCTACATGAAATGAATTCAGTAGCTCTGGTTATAACCACCCTACTCCCAACCTCATCCATTTGCTGGTTGCTGATACCCAAATTCTTACTCTCAGATATGCATGATTTAGATTGAACATTGCCCATTGCTTGAAATATTTTAAATACCAATATCTGTGAGAGGAGTTAATTAATAAACCACTTAAATATTGGTGTTTGGGAGTCTGATCAGACTGTTGCCTTTACCTATTCATAGGAAGGGCAAACCAGTTTGAGGTCTACATTGCACCTTGGAACAAAGGAAGGAAGAAAGGGATTGAAGGAGAATAAGGAGCGAAAAATGAAGGCAAAGTGCCCCATATGTACAATTTGACATAGATCAGCCCTTCCAAAGACACTGTCTTTGAAGTTTGCTGTAGCCACTGGTTCGAGCCTGTTCAATTGCTTCTGTCATGGGCCTCTGGATACTCTGAATGAGGTCTGTGTTCTTTCTCTATGGGATTTCCAGGGAGGTGAGCACTGAAACTCCTGCAGAAATTTACCACTGCTACCCAGAGTGACACAGAAGAAATGTGAAACAGCTGTGCTGACCAGTACTCAAGGCTGCATCCTTATAAAAAATACTCCAACACTCTATTGTTACCAATAGTAGCTGTATTGGGTCTCTACTGTAAGTCAGACACTTTACTAGGTACTTAATAAATATCTCTATAATAGTCTTAAAAGTATGTATTATTCAGGAAATGCAGCTGGTGAGGGGTGGAGCCTGGCTTCTATCCCAGGCCTATTTGAAACTAGAGCAAGTTTCCTTCTACTATAACACACTGCTACGGTATGCTTAAATTAACCTCTTACTCAACCTTCAATGCCCAGTTCAAATCATTCCTTTACTAAGCAGCTTCCTCTCAGTGACCTTGGTGATATCTTCTCCCTGTAGCCCTGATTTTGTACTGTTTAAATCATAGCTTGAATTCTTTCTTCCTCTTTTTTCACATTCCTCTTACCTCAAGTTACTATTGAGTCTGTTTGTGTCTGTGTCTCATCTCCCCACCCAAACCTTTGTTCCCTTAAATGTTCTTTGGGTTGCTGGCCCCAGCCTCATAGCAGGAGTTCAATGGTGTCATCAGTTAGTCTATGAACCAACTTAATCCACCCTCTGGAAGCCTCTGGAAGTCAAACATTCCCTGTTGGTTGAGCCACTCTACAAAGTTTACATGTAGCCTCCAAGAGCTGACAGCTCCCTCCCTGAAGCAATGGCTTACCCCTGGGAATTTTGTATCCATATATGACTTGCTCTTGCCCATGCTTTGCACTGCTTTTCTTTCCCCTCATTCTTTTCCAAGAGGAGAAGATAGCTTGGGTGCTCTTTACACTTGGCCACTCCTCCTCTTCTGGTTTTCTTTATACTTTTGATTCTAGAACAAAGACAAAGAATAGAACTTCCAGTGACTCTCTTCCTCTCTTGTGTACTTGCACTTGCTTATTCCCTAACATTTGATAATTTACTATATATCAGACATTGTGCTAAGAATTTTACATATCTAACTCTCATACAAATAATCTCATGAAATATGTGCTATCATTATACCCATTTAGCTCAAAAGGACCTTTAAGTATACCGAGGTACCTTGTCCATTATTACACTAGAAAATGGGAGAGCCAGAATATGAATGTAGGCTATGTGCTACTCTTAGTCACTACCAATTGATGTCAGTGAGAAATACAAGGGAAATATGGCCAATGTGTAAGTATATAAACCAATATAGTTGTTGATATCATATGGATTATCAAGTAAATCAGGATCTCTAGACGCTTCTTATAACTGGTCCTTGACTGGGACCCATCTTCCTGCCTTCTGTTGTAGGCACTTAGTGAATATAGGTGAATCAGTATTAGTTTGAGCTAAGCTGTGAAAAATATAGTCTAAGTCTATAGTCTACTATTTTGTAAATAAATCATTTATTAGAGAAAGAATGCAACTTCCAGTAATATCTTCTAAAATTCAATATAAATGATTTTTGAAAAATTCAAATGTTTGATTATTCATATCCACTTGACCTTCTCCAGCGGCAGAAATCTTTTAGAGTTGATGGTGTGCAGGTATTTGAAGAAGCCATTATATAAATTAAAACATCACGTTCACTCAGATATTTGTTGTAGGCATTATGGCAAACACAAAAAAGCATAATGCATTCTCTCAAAGAGTTCATCATCTTTTGAAGAGAAAATAAGCAATATACATGTTTCTCATTAAATAACAATGATAATTTTAAATGGCCCTTTGAGAGGATGATGACAATCACAAGCTAATGCATGATTATACCAATAGCAATTCAGAGAAGGAACACATAATGTCAGGCTGGGATAAGTGATCTAGAGAGGTTTGGTGGAGCAGATAAATTTTAAGCTATAATTTGAAAGGTCAATATAACTCAAGTAAAGAACAATGAAAGGAAGGGCAGATGGGGTTGGCTAGAACTACAACGTAGACTACATGACCCATAATAGAAAATGTCTTTATGCAAAACAAACCAGCATCATCAAGTAAAGAACAATGAAAGGAAGGGCAGATGGGGTTGGATAGAACTACAACATAGACTACATGACCCATAATAGAAAATGTCTTTATGCAAAACAAACCAGCATCATTATTGGGCTTAATTTGGACTTTTAGTCTTGAGTAAATAGAGAATATCTGTGACTCATTTTAAACTTTGTAACCCGAGGCCTAAAGGGAAGCATTGGAAGATGGGATTGGGATTGTTGCCAAGTTCCTCTGGTAACAAAGTTCAGTACTGCAGAGGAAATGACAACTGTTGCTGCCTACTTAGCAGACTCCCTTGGGCAATTGTAGGACTAGTTTTCCAGGTACATCAGATGAAGTATCAGCTTTGGAGAAACACTGCCTGGCATTATCTAGGCTTGCTCCACTAGTCCTCTAAACGGTTTTTGCATTTGTTGCTTAAAAGTGAGACATCTGGGCAAAAATTTGCCACACAGTGGGTCAAGCTCAAGGGCTCTTCAGGGACACTGCCTGGAGCTACCGAGGGACCAAGAGGAGCCCCCACTACTACAGTTAGATAGCAGGAATAAGATCTAATGTTCGGTAGCACAGTAGGGTGACTATAGTTAACAGTGAATTATTGTATATTTCAAAATGGCTACAAGAGATGATTTGCAATGTCTCTAACACAAAGAAATGATAAATATTTGAGGTTACAGATATCTCAGTTATCCAGATTTGATCGTTACACATTGTATGCTTATATCAAAATATCACATGTACCCCATAAACATGTACAACTATGATGTAACCAAAATATTTTTTAATTAAAAAAATTTTAAGCTAAAATGATTTTTTTTAAAAGAAGCAGGAGCCTATTCAGAAGGGCAAGAAAACTGAAGATTATAGAGCACCAGTCATGTGATGTGGGAAATATATATATAATACATTTCTAATATATGTGTATTTATGTATTTTTATGTTAAATTTTTGAGAGATAAGAATTATGTTGTGACATTTATAGAGGACAGAAACATCAATAAGTTGCCCAGTGGCATCGGCAGATTCAAGGTTCAACAGCATTCTTAAGCAGTTAATAAATTAGCCCCATACAGAGAGGAAAGAAGAATATATATATATATTGTGGAATAACTAAATATAACTAATTTACATTGTCATTTTTGTGATGACGCCACTTAATATCATGTTGTACATGATAAATACACAAAATTTTATCTGTTAATTTAAAAAATCAAACTCTAAAAAAGAGAAAAGAAGAGATGAAAGGTCTCGAAAAGGTCGTTTGCCAATGCACTCTGTGCTCTAGAAGTTGGTAGGAAATAAACCACAAACCTTGAACCTAGAAGCAATTCAAGTTGAAGAGAAACCTTAACGGAATCCAAAATCTAGAAGCTACTGAAGGAGTACCAAAAAAGAGAGCTCAATTAAGAAAAGCTTTACAAGAACACCTTTAGTCTGCCCAATAACATGAGTCATAGTGCACTCCAGAAGGCAGTGAGAATTATCTTCTCTTCTTACTTAGATATTACTGGAAAGTCTACCAAAGGGGACACTATCCAGGAATAGTTCATTGAGCCTTTAAGCCAAAGAGAAACAGAGACTCTGACAACAAACTGCCCTCAAATTCCTAGTGCAAAATGAAGCTTTATAAAACAAGATCCCATATATGTTGATGTTTCCTAGAAACACATTGTATAATATTCGGAAGGCAGTACTAAAATGGTCCTTCTCTTGAATGAATAATATATGTGATTAATAAGAGGCCTATGCCAAGGGGAAAAAAGAAAGAAAAATGGCCAATTTCAGACATGTTTTGGTATAAGAGCCAGGCTTTTATATTACCCATGTAGTAATTAATATTGTATATATCAAATGCCTAGAAGATCTCCATCCTGTTACCTGAATTTAGATATCACTTTAACAAAACTTGAAATTCACCCATTTATGCCAAATTTTACTCTCAGTAGTTCTGTTTACAAAATGGAAACATGATTGGAAAGCATATGCTGGCACTAATTTGCACTTATGCCTAAACTCTTTGAGTACATTTTTTTCTTTATTTTTTTCTGATAACAATGAAAGGCTTTGAAGAAATCAGTTCTAAAGAATCCTTATAATAAAAAAAGTTATATCTATTATTATTCTTCAGTTTGAACTTGTTGTTCAATATGAGGGGGAGAGAAAAAATATTGTACACGTATCTCAAGCAGCAGCTAGATTTCTACTGAGGAGTACAAGCCATCTCATGCTCTCTGTTTTAGAGGAGTGGCCATTTTCCCCTTCTTAATGAAAAGGGAACCTCTCACAAGAATACATACTACTGACATAAAAAGTACACCTACTTGACTATATAATCTTTGGCTCATGTCTTTTGTCTCAGAAAGGAAGAGAGAAGAAAGATAAGGTAATAAAGTTCAGATAGAACATTCAATCCATTGTCAAGACATTGACAAATGAAGATCACCGAAGAAGGCTTAAAAACAACAATGCACAAAAGAAATGCTTTGTTTTGAAATAATTTTAGATTTACAGAATAGTTGTAAAGATAGTACAGAGAGTTCCCAAATGTCTTTCACTCAGCTTCCCCTAATGTTAAATAATACAAAATTATGTTAGGAAGTTTTGACACGAAGTTGGCCTGGAATTTTTGGATGAGTTGGTTATAAAGTAACTCTCAGTAAAATATGGCAGTAAGATTAAGGACAAATATAAACCAAAAAATTTTAGTAAGAAAATAAGAATGTGTACTTTTGGAATTAAACACTACCAATATTTTAAAAATTCAACTTGTAATAACACAGTTTTAACTAGCTCTTTTAGGTGGTCACCAGTCAGTTATATGTTTTGCGAAAGAAAGAAGAATCTCTTCATTTTGTATAAGTCCTAGGATAGCATAAGCAATAGATTATTAGTATATTACCACCCCTGCATGGTAGCAACACATACAAATAAGTGCAGCAGGTTTGTGTCTTTTTTTAAATAATGAAATATATCTTAAAAATGTAAGCCTGAAAACATAAATATCTATTGAAATTTATGGCTAACATAAAAAGGGTGATTCACCAAAGCATTTGTTTTCAGTTATTTTATTAGATCACTTTTCCTCCATGGTAGAAAAAGTGAGGAAGACAATGGTGGAACTGCCTTGAGAAGAGAAGTATGAAAGGAGCATACAATGGAAGGCTGGGATGTCAAGGACAAAACTTCACTGAGGGTGGTTTCTTGGTCCTGAAGTCTTCAATTGTTCCCATTCCTGTCTTTTGAAAACAATCTTCCCTGCTTACTCTGGGCTTTAAAGACTTTGGACTTTGCATATTGTATTTCCAAAAGAAGATAATTACCCTCTATCTAGATATGGTCAAGGTTAGCCTCCTTTTGAGTTTCCTGATGAATTAGACAGACTATACATTGCAATCTAGAATATCAGCAATCTTGTTTTTACCAATGATGGTTATGTCAGTAGATAATTGCAGGAAAGGCTTGGTTGAAAACATTTATTAATTTTCCTATAGCAGGCTTTTGAACTACATTGCATATAATATACATTTTTTCAAGGTCCTATTGTACTTTAGGTTTTCCCCAAGAAAAGACTGAAGCAAGGATTTGGGTGTGGAAATGATCCCAGAAAGCAAGAACAAGGAAGTGGGAGTGGGACAAGGAAAGAAGAAAACCAATATAACAATAAGTTGCCCAAGTTACTGCTATAAGCATTGAAGCTTGATTTCACTGGGATTTTCTGAGAAGCATATAAATGCCTCTAAGAATTGTCCACTTATGTTAGAAAGGTTGCCCCCTCGGATGTTGACTCTCCTGAACTAATGGGCCGTATGGGCAACCACAGGGTCAGGTCATATCCTCATAAAAATCAGGAAGATATGTAATCCGCATTTTGGGTGGGGCATTATCAACACAGTTGTAACTGGGCTTGTATAGAACTCTCCATCTGATTCAGCTGGGGCTGAAATCAGAGGTGGGCTGGGAGGATATGCAAAACTCTAGCCGAAAAGTGCTTAAGAACCAGGGCCCTTAGGGAACATGGCTATAAATAGCATGGAGGAGAGTAGAGGGCTTAGTTGGGCTTGTCAGACAAGGAAATGCTGTTTCTCTGAACCTTTCATTTTGGGTAAAAATCTTATTGGCATTATTAAAATAGGATTCAATAAGGCATTGTCTTGGACAGCTATGCTTTGAATATTTCCATTTGAGAAGCAAATGGAAAACCTCTGTGGTCAAAATCACATGGTAGAGAAAAACCCACAGAGATTTTTTTCTGATAAAATGATATTCACATGTATAGTAATGATGTTCCAAATGATGAAAGATAGAGAGGGACTGGAGTCCATACTTTTGTTCTTCTATTACCAATAGCCTTTCTTTCTCGCCCTCCCTCTTCACTCTCTTCCCTCCTACCTTCCCTCTGAATGTGTCATTAGTATTTTATTGGTGATTTTCTATTACTCTTTTACAATGACCAGATGATTAAGTCTTACCCTACCTATGGAACTTTCAAAATGAAAAAAAAATAAAAAATCTGGTCACCCTTACTAAGAGGATAAGTACAGTGTTAATAAGGAAAACATTCAACAACCCTGATCATGGTTTGAATAAAGGTAAAGAGTTGGCTAGATTTTGGACTGTTAATAAATAGGGGGACAGGTAGAAATTTCCAGAGCATCAGGAAAACAGCTTCAGAATAAAGGAGGCATTACATTTACAGAAGTCCAAAGGCTGCCCAAGTCTACCAGAGGCCAGCTATAACCAATCCATCAGCCAAGCAGCTCCCCATTCAGGTAGCATCATATATGGCCTACAAGGAAGACTGTCTTCTACAGCACTTCACTTAGCCTTCTTCTGCGTCACCTTCTTATAAAAAGGGACAGCTTCCAGCTAAGCCTCAAACACAACCATAGACCCACTGCCCTCTCTCTCCAAAAATTATTCACTATCCAATTTGTGTGAGTCTAATTTACCTCTAAAGGAATGCATGGTATTTCCAAACGGTGTAAAGATGTGTTAAAATTTTACACATGCATCTTTTGGGTTTTCTTTTTTGGCTATTAATGGATAAAATCAACTTGCATTCTATTGGCTGTTTTCATTAAAATTCAAACTAGCACTATTCTCTCATCCACTCCTACTTCTGCCCAGGGATTCTTTCTTTGATATCTAGGCTATCACTAACAAAATACATTAAATAGTATGGTATTCTCAAGGGCTATTTACAAAGCTCAAGCATGCAAATAAAAACCTACAATCACCAGTTTTGTCAGTGATACATTATAAAGTAGAGGTGTTAATCGAAGGCTTCAACTGGTACTATAACCAGTTACTCCCTTATTTCAGGGCAAAGATCCACAGGACGTGTATTCCTTGGAAAGACCCTGTCTGGGTGGACACAACCACTAGCTTTACTCATTATATCCACCTAAAAGACAAGTATTGACAATGAAAACTAAACAATTTTATTCCCAGACCTGATAGCCTAGGGCCCATTGCTGCTGAAAACTAGAATCACAGCCTCCAGAAGTCAAAAGAAACTAAAAGTTAACACTAAATGAATTTAACCTGTCTAATTACATAAAGTTGGTGGGCTGAACCTAGAAGTTTATATATGAGTAAGAGAAGATGTAATATCAGACATGCAAAAAACTAAGAAATTTCTACAGTAGGAAATCTTGATGATCTTAAGCACAAATTGTGAGTTATTTTAGTTCCCTAAAAAAACTTCTCTTTGAAAAAAACAATCTACACAAATAACTTAATGCTCTGCTATAGAAAAATGCTTCTATAGATTCTTCCTATGATGAGGTCAGTAAAAAGACTGTGGAATTCATTTTTTTAGCCATTTCTCCTTGCTCACATGGACAAGAAGGGATGAGAGATGAAAGTTTAAGGTGTAGAATTCTCTCCTCACCCTTCTTCATCAGCTCACTTAAGAATAATCAATGCATCTGCATGAACAAGAAGGGTATGATATTGATGGTCTGGCTTCCAGAAGTAATTAAGTGAAGAATGTAACATTGCTTGATTGGTTAAAATGTAGTGTTAGGGGAATAGAAAGATGGGCAAAAAATGGACAGATTTATTGACAATAAAAGTGGTGACTATAATAATGTTATTATCATAAACATTTGGTCTTACATTAAATGACTCCCTGCTCCTGAGTTTTTACCCTTTGTTTCTGGTTAATGTATTATTTTGTCCTCTTCCTTGGGGCTGATTGTCACTTTTAATAGCCATTAAGATGCCTACCTATATACAGTATTTTTCAAAGAGTAATACACATGCTTTTCATACACAAAATGTATGACCTCATCTACTCCTGAGTGTACAGGTGACTGTGTAGCTGTGTATGTGTGCCCTTTTGTGTCTGAATGTATGCATTTTCCATTTCTTGAAATTCAGCTTTATCTTTATCAGTTGAAGTTAGCAAGTAATTGAATGCTAGTGAAATGCAACTTTTTTGTCATCTTGATGATATTCATTAAATATAATTTTGGCTTTGATGTGTGAATTTTTGTGACTTAGCAGTAACCAGTGTTTTATAAGCTTTAAATTTATTTTGAAATATTTCAATTATATGAAAGGTATTGAAATAATATAACAAACACATATGTACATCTCACCCAACTTAGGAAATGATATATACCCAAAAAATTCATGCCCCCACTTGATGTCTCCTTGAAGAAACTTCACACCCCCTTCCATAGGTAAACATAGCCTAGGATTTGATGGATTTCTCTACATTTTCTTATTTATGTGTATTTGTTTGAATATTATCTAATGTTTTAAATTTTATATAAATGGTATACTGTTCATATACTTCTGAAACTTGCTTTCCTCATTTACTATTAAATGTAGATTTTCATCCGCATGGATAGGTGTAGTGGATTTTTCCACTGCTGTAGATTCTTCTGTTGGATGGATAAGCAATAACGGAAACATTCTCTTCATGATTGACATTTGGGTTCTTTCTAATTTTTGCTATCATTAAATTCCTTCTATTGTATTAGTGTTTGTATGTGCATGTGTGAGAGTTTCTCCAGGATCTAGACCTAGGAATAGAATGTCTGAGCAATAAGATGTGTATTACATTAATATGCATTGCCAAATTGATCTCCAAATTTTTATACAAATGTATACTCGTAACATCAGTGTATCCTCACCACAAATAATGTGAATACATTTTAATTGGCATTTCCTTGATTACTAGCAAACTTGAGAAAATTCGATATATATAAAACATTTATATTTCCTATTTTGAGAATTGCTTGTTCATATATTTTCCCCATTTTTGTATGGCATTGTTTCTCTTAATTAATTTATATGAGGTTATGAAACTCAAGAGAGCCACTTATCCATGGTGCAGGCTTGCAAGTTCCGCCTAAGTTTGAGGGTAGAACAAACTGCATAAGCACAAGGTGGTGATTAGCTGTTACTATGAGGCAGAGAGGAGATCTACCCATGTTCTGGACTCCTCTCTTATGAGAGGCAAAGCCATCTGCCATTGGGTTGGTGTGGGGGAGGTGTCATGATATATATATATATAAATATATATATATGATACATACACATGATACATACACATGATACATGCATGTGATACATACATGATACATATATATGATACATACGATACATATATATGATACATATATGATACATACATATACATATATGACACATATGATACATACATATACATATATGATACATATATATGATACATATACATATATGATACATAAATATGATACATACATATACATATATGATACATATATATGATACATACATATACGTATATGATACATACATATGATACATATATATGATACATACATATGATACATATATGATGCATATACGATACATACATATACATATATGATACATATATGATACATACATATACATATATATGATATATATGATACATGCATATACATATATGATACATGCATATACATATATATGATACATATATGATACGTATGATGCATACGTATGATGCATATGATACATACATATGAGACATACATATGATACATATGATACATACATATGATACATACATATACATACATATGATACATACATATACATATATATGATACATACATATACATATATATGATACATATATGATACATATATGATATATATATGATACATACATATGATACATATATATGATACATATATATGATACATATGATATATATGATACATATATATGATACATGTGATACATATGATACATATATATGATACATATGATACATATATATGATACCTATGATACATATGATACATATATGATACATATATGATACATATGATACATATGATACATATATGATACATATATACATATATATGATACATATATGATACATACGTATGACGCATACGTATGATACATATGATACATACGTATGATACATATATGATACATACATATGATACATACGTATGATACATATGAATGATACATACATATGATACATATGAATGATACATACATATGATACATATGAATGATACATACATATGATACATATGAATGATACATACATATGATACATATGAATGATACATATGAATGATACATATATATGATACATATATATGATACATATATATATGCTCTTAGCAGCAATCATGACATAAAAATTTTCCAAAAATGATACCCTGGATGTTATTTGAACTATAGCCTTACCCTTCAAATATTACACTGATGCAATAAATATCCCTAGCCTACCACTTAGTTCTATGAGGATACAGGGAGAGGAAGTAGGAGAGAATATGCAGACAGTAATTTCTAACTCATTGAACTGACCGAGATGTAATTAAGTAACATATAAAGTGTTCAGTCCTGAGGCTGCAAAAGAGAATTCACTCAAGATAGGTAAGCTTCAAAAATAATTTTAAGGAAAATAAAGATAACTTCTCTGAAAGTAATATGCCACTTACAGAGTTCTATGAGGTTAAATAAGGACCTCTTCCCATACCACCCCCACCCCCAACCTTAATTCACTACCTCCAAGCTATTTTGGACTTGAAAGCCAGAAAATCCATCTTATTGGAAGTGTATGTAAAGTAAGAGTAAATAAGTGTTGAGGTTACTCTGAGTAGCTTTCCTGTGAGCAAAGGGCAGAAATATTGATACTGTGGTCATTCAGAGCCATTTTTATAACTTATATTTTGTTCCTCACTATGTGTCTGATAGGTGACAACTTAAAAACTGAGAAATATAGGATTTTTTTTCTTTCTTATAAATGTCAGTAGACTCTAACAGCATACTCTCCAAAAATAAGCATTAGTCTGGAAAAGTACTGGAGAGAGGTTTTTTCTTCCCAATAAGCCAAGAAGTCAATACATTAAGACTTTTAATAATATTTATAGCATCTAGGTATCTTATTGTATGTTGTCTCAAAATTTTTATTCCAAACTGATGTAAAATGATGTACATAACAACATATGAACAACCTATAATGTCAAAAGTATAGTTATACATCAAGATTTGAATCTCAGAATATCTTTCTAATATATTTAAATGGCAGTTAGCTCATCTAGGCAGTTCTAAAAGACTAATAAACCATGATTTAGCTAGACGCTAATATCAATAATACGTGTCTGAAGGCTGGATCAGTTTAGGTGTTAGAAGGAAGAAGAAAATGCCTTTACTTTTAGTACTCTTTCATTTCCCTTTGTGAACTTTGTTTTGCCCTTTATTCCCCTTTCTTAAGAATATCCATGTCTTCATGCTGTCCCAAATGTTTCACCCCTTCCCCATCAAAGCTCTGTGAAGTTGAGATAATAGTTCAGTTAAAAGCAGTCTGAACTAATTCACACTAACGTGAGAATGATTTCTTAATCCTCCCAAAGGAATTTGAATTCTTAAAACATAGCTTTCATAACCTAATTAAATCTTCATTATCATAATTCAGGCACTAAGTAGAAAATTTAACTAAGAAAATTCAATCAATATTTGGTGAGCTATTTGAAGTGAAGGGTGAATATTTAGAGCCATCACTGCCTTGGGAATTGCTTTTCATAATCTATTCCCTCCTGCTAACAGACTTGAAAATTCTCTGACATCTACTTCCCATGCAGTAGTGGCTCTATCTACAGAGAGCTGTGTAAATGGGCATATTTTTATACCAAAAACTAGTATGTCAGGGCTTCCTTTAGAAGATAAGAATAATCATTTTTGAAATGTTTGTGTTTTATTTTTATCTCTTGCAATTATTCTTTCTGACTTTGCTTTTTATCTTCGTGATGGACTTGATGGGGAAACAATAATGAGTAGACCCTGAAAAGAAAACACTTCATTCTCTATGCTTTCTCTCATTCTGTCTCCACCAATAAATAAATAGATAAATAAATAAATAAATAAAATAAATAAACAGGAAGCGGAGGATAAAAGAAAACAAGCAAAGACAACTTACATATTGAAAGTAATTATTCATTCCGGATCATGACATAGAAGAAAATATTTTAAACAAGGCTTGCTGCTATATCCTGCAGTAAAAGTGAATACTAGCATGAAAGAACGTTATCTGCAAAAGCAGTGAAAGATTACTGTTAAAGTTAAAAGATAATAGAATTAAGTTCCTTGTGGTCATAAAAACATATTAGACACAATTACAGATTCTGGCCTTCTAGTCAATGAACACCTGATTCTTGACATAGTTTTAAGGATAGCAGTGTGTGGTTATGAACAATGGTTATAAAATCTAAATTGCATTATTGATTCATAGTCCTGTGATTCCTTGTTTACTCTGTGCCTGATGACAAGACGGCCTGCTCTTTTGCAACACCGTGAAGCATGTCCTAACACTACTTTAAGTCCTGCTGGAGGTCACAGATCCAGAAGAAATAGAAAATTATTCTTGCTCAACTTTTAAAGATTCCTTTGTCTCACCCAAGCATTCTCACTGATTGAATGAGTAATTCTCATTACTATGCCTGCACTGAGGTCCTGTAAACCATGCCTGTCTTTCTCCCTTCTGACCTGTTTGGCTGAATTGAAAGAGGAATGTGGGGTTTTACTTCACTTTTATCTTCACTTCTCAAGGAACAGAATTCTCCCAACACATCATTTATGTTTTAAAAGAGACTTTTCCTTAAGGAGCTGTTCTGTTCTTAAAACTTATAGCAGCAATCTGATATTAAACAAAGCTCTGGTCAGTGAACTCCAATCACAAATGGAATGCATAACTTGTTCATGCATTTGTTCACAGGGATTTATTAAGCCCCTAGTATATACCAAGCACTAGATTAATTGCTAGGGCAAAAATAGTGAACAAGAGAGACAAAGTCTCACTTTTTATGAAGCTCAGCACCAAGACAGAAAGACAGACTTGAATGATAATTACAAGATTGAGGATGTTATAAAGGTGTACACAGGGTATACACAGGTGACCAGTGAAGGCCTTTGGAAGAAGTAACATTTAAGCAGAAATCAGAAGGTTTAACAAGAACTGGAAATGTTAAACGTTTCCAAATGTTGAAAGGAGGGGTTATACAGAAAGAACAGCTTATATGAATGCTGTGAGATGAGAGCAAACATGACTTATTTGCAGAAAAACAGTTCCTTATAGCCAGTAACTGCGAAGGGATAAGGCTTTAGATATAGGCATGATTCGTATCACAGGAAAAGCTTATAGTCATGCCAAAGATTTGGTCTTTTTCCTACAGGCCATGACATATTTTTAAGTTGGGGAGTGACATTTGCATTTAAAAACTATCTTTCTGGCTGTAATTGTAAAAATAGATTTGAGATTTGCAAGACTGGCTGTAAGGAATGCAATTATGAAGTTGTTACAAACCTCTGGTTCCAGCAACATGACAGACTAAGATAGCAGAAAAAAAAACTTCCTAAAAATATTGAGACATTCTGTAAAAAAAAAAAAAATAGTGTAAGGAAGTATGTGTGGTCATAAGAAAGACAGATGACAGAAATGAAGATAGAGCTACAACCCCACAGAAGCCAGAAAGTGTGGCCGGACACGGTGGCTCATGCCTGTAATTCCAGTACTTTGGGAGGCTGAGGTGGGCAGATCACCTGAGGTCGTGAATTCGAGACCAGCCTGACCGATATGGAGAAACCCCATCTCTACCAAAAATACAAAATTAGCTGGGCGTGGTGGTGGCACATGCCTGTAATCCCAGCTACTTGGGAGACTGAAGCAGGAGAATCGCTTGAACCCAGGAGGCAGAGGTTGCAGTGAGCCGAGATAGCACCATTGCACTCCAGCCTGGGCAACAAAAGCGAAACTCTGTCTCAAAAAAAAAAAAAAAATATATATATATATATGTATATATAATGTGTGTGTGTATATATATATACACGTATATTATATATATTTTTTAAGATGTGTTTGTATAAGGAGGAAATTGAACATAGAAGAACTGAGATACAAAAATTAATAGTGATGCCAGAAAGTATGAATATAAAAATATAAACATATTGGCTTTAACACAATAGTAATTGCAATTGAAAAGTTTGGGAAATATCAAAAGCAAGTTGTACTAAATTCTGAAAATGATATGCAAAATGGAAATTAAAAGACTGAATATAGTTTAAGTAGTCTTAGCCCTTGTATTATTTAGAAGATAAAGAACCAAAACAATTTAATAAAAACAGAAAAAGAAAAATATGCACAAAAAAAGCAAAACATAAAGCACAAAATAAGATAGTTTGAATAAACCTAAATAAATCAGCAATCATCAAAAATGTAAAAAGACGAAACTGACTAGTTAAAGGCAGAGAATGTCAATTTGAATTTGTTTTTACCATTCATTAGTAGATTGATAGTTTATTTGCATAAAAATGAACCTTTTCAAATTTGACTGACGTGTTAAGACTAGCCCAATTTGATTTTTAAAGCTTTTTTTATTTATTTATTTTTTTATATACATATATATTTTTATTATACTTTAAGTTCTAGGGTACATGTGCACAACATGCAGCTTTGTTACATATGTATACATGTGCCATGTTGGTGTGCTGCACCCATTAACTTGTCATTTACATTAGGTATATCTCCTAATGCTATCCCTCCCCCTCACCCCACCCCACAACAGGCCCTGGTGTGTGATGTTCCCCTTCCTGTGTCCAAGTGTTCTCATTGTTCAATCCCCACCTATGAGTGAGAACATGTGGTGTTTGGTTTTTTGTCCTTGCGATAGTTTGCTGAGAATGATGGTTTCCAGCTTCATCCATGTCCCTACAAAGGACATGAACTCATCCTTTTTTATGGCTGCATAGTATTCCATGGTGTATATGTGCCACATTGTCTTAATCCAGTCTATCATTGTTGGACATCTGGGTTGGTTGCAAGTCTTTGCTATTGTGAATAGTGCTGCAATAAACATACCTGTGCATGTGTCTGTATAGCAGCATGATTTATAATCCTTTGGTTATATACCCAGTAATGGGATGGCTGGGTCAAATGGTATTTCTACTTCTAGATCCCTGAGGAATCGCCACACTGTCTTCCACAATGGTTGAACTAGTTTACAGCCCCACCAACAGTGTAAAAGTGTTCCTGTTTCTCCACATCCTCTCCAGCACCTATTGTTTCCTTACTTTTTAATGATCGCCATTCTAACTGGTGTGAGATGGTATCTCATTGTGGTTTTGATTTGCATTTCTCTGATGGCCAGTGATGATGAGCATTTTTTCATGTGTCTGGTGGCTGCATAAATGTCTTCTTTTGAGAAGTGTCTGTTCATATCCTTCGCCCACTTGTTGATGGGGTTGTTTTTATCTTGTAAATTTGTTTGAGTTCTTTGTAGATTCTGGATATTAACCCTTTGTCAGATGAGTAGATTGCAAAAATTTTCTCCCATTCTGTAGGTTGCCTGTTCGCTCTGATGGTAGTTTCTTTTGCTGTGCAGAAGCTCTTTAGTTTAATTAGATCCCATTTGTCAATTTTGGCTTTTGTTGCCATTGCTTTTGGTGTTTTAGTCATGAAGTCCTTGCCCGTGCCTATGTCCTCAATGGTATTGCCTAGGTTTAGGCTAACCATTTGTTGAACAGGGAATCCTTTCCCCATTTCTTGTTTTTGTCAGGTTTGTCAACAGATAGTTATAGATGTGCGGCATTATTTCTGAGGGCTCTGTTCTGTCCTATTGGTCTATATCTCTGTTTTGGTACCAGTACCATGCTGTTTTGGTTACTGTAGCCTTGTAGTATAGTTTGAAGTCAGGTAGCGTGATGCCTCCAGCTTTGTTCTTTTGGCTTAGGATTGTCTTGGCAATGCAGTCTCTTTTTTGGTTCCATATGAACTTTAAAGTAGTTTTTTCCAATTCCGTGAAGAAAGTCATTGGTGGCTTGATGGGGATAGCATTGAATCTATAAATTACCTTGGGCAGTATGGCCATTTTCACGATATTGATTCTTCCTATCCATGAGCATGGAATGTTCTTCCATTTGTTTGTATCCTCTTTTATTTCATTGAGCAGTGGTTTGTAGTTCTCCTTGAAGAGGTCCTTCACATCCCTTGTAAGTTGGATTCCTAGGTATTTTATTCTCTTTGAAGCAATTGTGAATGGGAGCTCACCCATGATTTGGCTCTCTGTTTGTCTGTTATTGGTGTATAGGAATGCTTGTGATTTTTGCACATTGATTTTTCATCCTGAGACTTTGCTGAGGTTGCTTATCAGCTTAAGGAGATTTTGGGCTGAGACCATGGGGTTTTCTAGATATACAATCATATCATCTGCAAACAGGGACAATTTGACTTCCTCTTTTCCTAATTGAATACCCTTTATTTATTTCTCCTGCCTGATTGCCCTGGCCAGAACTTCCAACACTATGTTGAATAGGAGTGGTGAGAGAGGGCATCCCTGTCTTGTGCCAGTTTTCAAAGGGAATGCTTCCAGTTTTTGCCCATTCAGTATGATATTGGCTGTGGCTTTGTCATAGTTAGCTCTTATTATTTTGAGATACATCCCATCAATACCGAATTTATTGAGAGTTTTTAGCATGAAGGGCTGTTGAATTTTGTCAAAGGCCTTTTCTGCATCTATTGAGATAATCATGTGGTTTTTGTCATTGGTTCTGTTTATATGCTGGATTACATTTATTGATTTGCGTATATTGAACCAGCCTTGCATTCCAGGGATGAAGCCCACTTGATCGTGGTGGATAAGCTTTTTGATGTGCTGCTGGATTCAGTTTGCCAGTATTTTATTGAGGAGTTTTGCATCGCTGTTCATCAGGGATATTGGTCTAAAATTCTCTTTTTTTGTTGTGTCTCTGCCAGGCTTTGGTATCAGGATGATGCTGGCCTCATAAAATGAGTGAGGGAGGATTCCCTCTTTTTCTGTTGATGGGAATAGTTTCAGAAGGAATGGTACCAGCTCCTCCTTGTACCTCTGGTAGAATTCAGCTCTGAATCCATCTGGTCCTGGACTTTTTTTGGTTGGTAAGCTATTAATTATTGCCTCAATTTCAGAGCCTGTTATTGGTCTATTCAGAGATTTAACTTCTTCCTGGTTTAGTCTTGGGAGGGTGACTGTGTCGAGGAATTTATCCATTTCTTCTAGATTTTCTAGTTTATTTGCATAGAGGTGTTTATAGTATTCTCTGATGGTAGCTTGTATTTCTGTGGGATCGGTGGTGATATCCCCTTTATCATTTTTTATTGCGTCTATTTGATTCTTCCCTCTTTTCTTCTTTATTAGTCTTGCTAGCGGTCTATCAATTTTGTTTATCTTTTCAAAAAACCAGCTCCTGGATTCATTGATTTTTTGAAGGGTTTTTTGTGACTCTATCTCCTTCAGTTCTGCTCTGATCTTAGTTATTTCTTGCCTTCTGCTAGCTTTTGAATGTGTTTGCTCTTGCTTCTCTAGTTCTTTTGATTGTGATGTTAGGTTGTCAATTTTAGATCTTCCCTACTTTCTCTTGTGGGCATTTAGTGCTAAAATTTCCCTCTATACACTGCTTTAAATGTGTCCCAGAGATTCTGGTATGTTGTGTCTTTGTTCTCGTTGGTTTCAAAGAACATCTTTATTTCTGCCTTCATTTTGTTATGTACCCAGTAGTCATTCAGCAGCAAATTGTTTAGTTTCCATGTAGTTGAGTGGTTTTAAGTGAGTTTCTTAATCCTGAGTTCTAGTTTCATTGCACCATGATCTGACAGACAGTTTGTTATAATTGCTGTTCTTTTACATTTGCTGAGGAGTGCTTTACTTCCAACTATGTGGTCAATTTTGGAATAAGTGTGGTGTGGCGCTGAGAAGAATGTATATTCTGTTGATTTGGGGTGGAGAGTTCTGTATACGTCTATTAGGTCCGCTTGGTGCAGAGCTGAGTTCAGTTCCTGGATATCCTTGGTAACTTTCTGTCTCATTGATCTGCCTAATGTTGACAGTGGGGTGTTAAAGTCTCCCATTATTATTGTGTGGGAGTCTAAGTCTCTTTGTAGGTCTCTAAGAACTTGCTTTATGAATCTGGGTGCTCCTATGTCAGGTGCATATATATTTAGGATAGTTAGATCTTCTTGTTGAATTGATCCCTTTACCATTATGTAATGGCCTTCTTTGTCTCTTTTGATCTTTGTTGGTTTAAAGTCTGTTTTGTCAGAGACTAGGATTGCAACTCCTGCCTTTTTCTGTTTTCCATTTGCTTGGTAGATCTTCCTCCATCCCTTTATTTTGAGCCTATGTGTGTCTCTGCACATGAGATGGGTTTCCTGAATACAGCACACTGATGGGTCTTGACTCTTTATCCAATTTGCCAGTCTGTGTCTTTTAATTGGAGCATTTAGCCCATTTACACTTAAGGTTAATATTGTTATGTGTGAATTTGATCCTGTCATGATGATGTTAGCTGGTTATTTTGCTCATTAGTTGATGCAGTTTCTTCCTAGCATCGAAGGTCTTTACAATTTGGCATGTTTTTACAGTGGCTGGTACAAGTCATTCCTTTCCATGTTTAGTGCTTCCTTCAGGAGCTCTTTTAGGGCAGGCCTGGTGGTGACAAAATCTCTCAGCATTTGCTTGTCTGTAAAGTATTTTATTTCTCCTTCACTTATGAAGCTTAGTTTGGCTGGATATGAAATTCTGGGTTGAAAATTCTTTCCTTTAAGAATGTTGAATATTGGACCCCACTGTCTTCTGGCTTGTAGAGTTTCTGCTGAGAGATCAGCTGTTAGTCTGGTGGGCTTCCCTTTGTGGGTAACTCGACCTTTCTCTCCGGCTGCCCTTAACATTTTTTCCTTCATTTCAACTTTGGTGAATCTGACAATTATGTCTCTTGGAGTTGCTCTTCTCGAGGAGTATCTTTGTGGCGTTCTCTGTATTTCCTGAATTTGAATGTTGGCCTGCCTTGCTAGGTTGGGGAAGTTCTCCTGGATAATATCCTGCAGAGTGTTTTCCAACTTGGTTCCATTCTCCCCATCACTTTCAGGTACACCAATCAGACACGTAGATTTGGTCTTTTCACATAGTCCCATATTTCTTGGAGGCTTTGTTCATTTCTTTTTATTCTTTTTTCTCTAAACTTCTCTTCTAGCTTCATTTCATTCATTTGATCTTCAATCACTGATACCCTTTCTTCCAGTTGATCGAATCAGCTACTGAAGCTTGTGCATTCATCACGTAGTTCTCGTGCCATGGTTTTCAGCTCCATCAGGTCCTTTAAGGACTTCTCTGCATTGGTTATTCTAGTTAGCCATTAGTCTAATCTTTTTTCAAGGTTTTTAACTTCTTTGGGATGCGTTCGAACTTCCTCCTTTAGCTCGGAGAAGTTTGATCGTCTGAAGCCTTCTTCTCTCAGCTCGTCAAAGTCATTCTCCATCCAGCTTTGTTCTGTTGCTGGTGAGGAGCTGCATTCCTCGGTTGGAAATGCAGAAAGCACCCGTCTTCTGCATCGTCACGCTGGGAGCTATAGACTGGAGCTGTTCCTATTCGGCCATCTTGGAACCAAACCTCAATATAAATTTTAAAGTCTACTTTATATGAAAAAATAGTGGAGGAATAAAAATATAGACGGCAAATACTAACCAAACAAGGCAAATTATAGCTATATTCAATATTAATCAAAATGGAGCTCCAAGAAAATAAATATTTTTAGGTTTGGGAAATATTTTATAGTATTAAAAAGAAACTTCAGTAGAATGAAACACCTGTATAGATGTTACAATGTGTCTTCAAACTACTATGAATTTTTAATTTCACAATCAATGGAATATTTTAATATATTTTCTCAATAACTGACAGATAAAGCAGAATGAAAAAATGTAGAATGTAGAAGTTTTGAGCAACACTGTTTATTGGATAGCCCTAAAGAACCCTTTACTTGGCATCTAGGGAACATGTATGTTTTTCTAATATACAGGGAATATTTACAAAAATTCAACAAAATGTGCCACAAAACAGGAGTCAACAAACTCAACAGAAGAGAAATGCATATATTGGTGAGCTCAGATATTATATTCTTACATAATATCTGAGAGGAAGCAAAGCAAAAACATGTGTCATCACAATACACGTAGTAACAATCTCACAGATGTTATGGGAGCACATGAGGGAGATATGAAGAAAAACTTTCTGAAGGAGTTGATGCATGTGTGAAATAGTAAACTGCAAATAGGTGTTAGCCAGGCAACATTCTTTTTTGCCTTTTAAAAAATTGCAATATAATTCACATGCCATGAAATTCACCAATATAAAGTGTACAAGTCAGTGGTTTTTAGTATATTCACAAGGTTATAAAACTATCATCATTATCTAAGTAAACATCATCTAACTCCAGAATATTTTCGTCATTCCAAAAAGAAATTACATACCCATTAGCAGTGACTCCTCAATACCCCCTCTCCCCAGTTCCTGGCAACCACAAAGCTATTTTCCATCTCTATGGATTTGTCTATTTTGGACATTTCATATAAGTGGAATTACACAACATGTGGCCTTTTGTGTCTGGCTTCTTTCACTCATTATAGTACTTCAAGACTCATCCATGTTGTAGCATGTATCAGTGTTTCACTCCGTCTTATTGCTAAGTGATACTTCATATAAGGGTATGCCACATTTTGTTTATCCATTCATCAGTTGATGAACATTTAAGTTGTTTCCATTGTTTGGGTATTATGAATAATGCTACCATAAACATTTGTGTACAGTTTTATGTGAACATATGTTTTCAATTTTTTGAGTATATATCTATGAGTTGAGTTGTTGGGTCATATGGTAACTGTGTTTAACATTTTGAAGAACTGCCAAACTGTTTTCTACAGCAGCTGTACCATTTTACATTTCCATAACCAGGTAAAACTGTATGTCAGTGTGTATGCCTGCAGAAGGAGGGAGAGAAATTTTCATATCAGGGAAGTGGTAGTGGCCAAAAGTAAAAGCAAAGACATTAGGGTCAGAACAGTATGAATAAAACCACAAAGATGAACAACTTTACTTTGTACTGAAGGGAATAGAAGCTCATATTGCCACATTACAAAGTTGCAAAGCAGGTAGTTAAAGGATATAGAGACTTGACAAGCAAGATTGTTCCAACCTGTTAACTATGTCACATTGGGCAATTCAGGTAATAGCTCTGACCTCTGGTTTCTTCATCTGAAAAGTAAGATTAACATTTCTTATTCTGCAAACCTCCTAGGATTGTGAGAATCAAATGGAAAAGGGGCAAGAAAAGCACTCATGAGATTGAGGGTATAGTAATAGCAGAAAGCTAGATACAACATAGATCTAAGGAGGTTGATGCCCAGTCACAGCCTCAATATAGGTCATATAGTTTTGATCTCCAAAAAAGCCATAAATTCATCCTGTTTTTCACTTCTCAAGGAGAATGGAGGGTGTATGGGGAAGTTATGGTCCATTTGTTCGTTCTGGAACCCAGGATATTTTTGTCTTGAGATTGCGTCATCTCCCACAAGCGTTCTTCAAGTTTGCTATGAGTGAACACACAAATAGTGGTACACATTAGTTTTGATCACATTCCTTTGGCCACAGCTTAGTTACATGGCCCTATTGAAAGGTAAGGGAGGTGGGAAAATAGAGTTTAGTTGTACACCCAGGAAGAAGAAAAGAAAGGCATATAACGGTGAGCTCTAGTGCTGTCTGCTCTAAGTATTTGATTGAGTGATAAAAATAATTCCTATAGAAGTCTTTAATCTTCCTTTTTTTGTTTTTCTTTTTTAGCTCCTCCATTTTCAACTTGATTCAACTCAATCCTGTTTGTTGAGAACTGCTTTGGTGAGTCAGCAAGGGAAAGAAGACAGAATGGGGATTTTGAATCAATTCAATACTTGAATAAAATTCTGATTCCCTTATTCCTATGGGAATTTTAGCAAAATATCCACCTTAGCCTCGGTTTCTTCATCAGTAAATCTTGGTGATAAGATCTACTTAAAAGATCTATATTGAGGATGAAATGAAATAACAGCCATTAAGCCCTCATAGGGCAGACTGGACAACCAATATAAGTTATTTCTTCATCTTCTTTCCTCACTGTCATCCCAGCCACTGTGTCTGAAACTCTGTGGGGAATTGAAGATGAACAAGATAAACCCGAGTATGAGGGATTCATAATCTAACAAGTGTGACAACAGAGGTGGGGACAGAGTTGGTTAGGTTAAGTGAATCATCTCTTATAAATGCATAAATGACATTGATGGTATTAATAGAATCATTGAGTGGTGGCCCTCCAAGAGAGTACAGTATTCAGTTTTCTCATCTTCAGATAGGGAAACAAAGTAGTAAAATGTCTTGCCTAAAACCAAGTATAACATTTTTTAGGGCTATTATAGGACAGACACACTTGGCATACATTAAGGTATGTGCCTGAATTATAATGCTTATAGCAGCAGTATGAGGAAGGTACTATTTTATCCCTATTTTGTAGGTAAGCACACTGAAGCTTAGAGAGATTAAGACCAAAAGATGGAGATCATCAATGGGCAACAGTGAAGGAGGAAGAAAAACACAAGATGAGGACCCAGGACAGAGGCTATAGTAGATGCTGAAGGGTAGTGACTTCCACTGAACAGGATATTTGAACTCACTAGATTAAAGCATCTGAAGGGCTTTAAAAAGTAGACCCTGATTTACGTGGTCCAGCACGGGGTGTAGATATCTGATTCTCAGGTAATGTAGGTGTGCATACCAATTTGTGAACCACTGCACTACTAGATATAGTTCTTTCTTGCTAGGAGCTTCCAATGTTGTAGGAAAGATGAGGCATGACAATAAAAAATGTCCAATAAATATGTGAGCTACCACATGATGTTGAGATCTCAGAGACTGCAAAGGAAGAAGCAGGCCCAGTGGCTTAAAGTGGTCTGTGATGGCTTCCTCTGCAAAGACGGATGACTTCACTAAGTAGAGAAATATTCCATACAGCAGGAATAAGATGGACAAAATTCTGGAGGTGAAAGAAAACAGTGATTTCAAATGAGATGAGTATTTCTTAGTTTTGATGAGTGTACCATGGTTATATGAGATGTTACCATTAGAGGAAGCTGAGTGAAGAGTAAACAGCAACCTTCTGTACTATCTTGCAACTCTTATACAAATCTAAAAAACATTTTAAATACTTGTATCTATGCATGAGTAAGAGACAGAGAGAGTCTGTCTCTGAGAGAGAGTTTATATTATATGTATCTGTGATGAAGGACACAGTTGTGAAGGAGGAAATGAGAGAATCATTGTAGTTCTCCCGTTACAATTGAGGGAATTGAAGCAGAAAGAACAGGGGTTTGTCCAGGGTCACACAGCCAGTTAGAAGCAAAGCTGTAATTAACCCACCCCCGTGCTCCTTATATAGAATAAAACAAAAGGTATAAGCTTGAGAAGTGGGGGAAATCTGTGAGTGGGGAATATTTAAGATCAAATACAGTGTTGGTAAATTCGTGCTTGTTATGGTTTCAGACTGTATAAGTTAAGCCATGGGAAGAAAACTTCTAAAAATCACTGATGCCAAATTTAACAAATTAAGAGTTAAAATATGCTCTTCTCCATAAATACCTACAGGATGATTTACTTCACCATATGTGAATAATGTTCTGGTTTTAATCAGCAACATATTGCTTACTGAATGCTAACCTGTGACTTGTCTACTACAATTAATTGGTAAACATGACTGTATTTTTAGAACATAATTGCAACATTTATTAATGAAGGCACGAAATGGCCTTTCACAGTTTTATGTCTGCCAATGGGGATTTCATAAAGGCATCAAATAAAATACTATTACAGAGTCCTGGGTTGTGCCCTCACATTGCATTATTTTGTTTTTATTTATTTTTTTTTCATTTTAAATTGTTATTTTCTTAGTTTCTAATAGGAAATGCTGATGGTTCTTCCAAAGTACAAGTAGTTTGTAGGTCAGGGTGGTTAGATTTGCTGAAGAATGAAATGTGAGATGTGAGACAAAGAAGAGTCAACAATAATACCAAGATTCTTGGTCTGAGAAACTGAAACAATTGAGTTGCTATTATCTGAGATGAGGTAAGAGAAGGTATCGGGAAAAGTATCTGGAATCCAGTTTTGTACAAGTAGAATTTGAGTTGTTAGTCACATACCAAGTAGACATTTTTGGAAGAGAAACCTAGGAAATACTCTTCTCGACATCAGCCTTGGCAAGGAATTTTTGGCTAAGTCCCCAAAAGCAATTGCAACAAAAATAAAAATAGACAAGTGGGACCTAATTAAACGAGAGAGCTTCTGCACAGCAAAAGAAACTATCAATAGAGTAAACAGACAACCTACAGAACAGGAGAAGATATTCGCAAACTATGCATCTGACAAAGGCCTAATATCCAGAATCTATAGGGAACTTAATAAGCAAAAAATAAATAACCCCATTGAAAAATGAGCCAATGACATGAACAGACACCTCTCACAAGAAGACATACACGTGGCCAACAAACATATGAAGATATGCTCAATATCAAGAATCATTAGATAAATGCAAATCAAAATCAAAATGAGATACCATCTCACACCAGTCAGTATGTCTATTATCAAAGTTAAAAACAACAGATGCTGGCAAGGCTGCAGAGAAAAGGGAATGCTTATACACTGATGGTGGAAATTTAAATTAGTTCAGCCACTGTGGAAAGGAGTCAAAAGATTTCTCAAAGAACTTAAAACAGAGCTACCATTTGACCTACGAATCCAATTACTGGATATATACCCAAAGGAAAGTAAATCATTCTACAAAAAAGATCCATGTACTTGTATGTTCACCATTGCACTATTCACAATAGCAAAGACATGGAATCAACCCAGATGCCAATCAATGGTAGATTGGATAAAGAAAATGTGGTAATATACACCATGGAATACTATGTAACCATAAAAAAGAATGAAATCATGTCCTTTGCAGCAACATGGTTGCAGTTGGAGGCCATAATCCTAAGCAAACTAACACAGGAACAGAAAACCAAATATCACATGTTTTGACTGATAAGTGAGAGCTAAACATTGAGCACACATGGACACAAACCTGACAACAACAGACACTGCAGACTACTAGAGGCTGGAGGGAGGGAAGGAGCTATGGGTTGAAAAACTACCTATCAGGTACTATGATCACTATCTGAGTAATGGGATCTGCACCCCAAACCTCAGCATCATGCAATATTCCTATGTAACAAACTTGTACATGTACCCCCTGTAACTGAAATAAAAGTTGAAATTAAAGAAAAAGAAAATGAAAGCAACAGTAATTTTAAAAATATGTATAATCTTAAAGACTGGCAGGATAGCCAGAAAACAATGGGGAAAGGTTTATTTTTTTTTCTTATATATTATCAAACTGGTAGAACATGAAGCATTTGGGGGATGGGGTATGACAGATTTGAATAAGCTGCTGAAGATGGGCTGAGTTTCACTAAGACACAGAGACCTAAAGAGAAAGACAAGGAAGCAAAGATAAAAGAGCACAAAAGACAAGCTTCAACCATTTTAAACACTGCTCTGAAACAAGAACATCTCCCTGTCTCATACCTCATCTCTGCAGACCATGGACTTCTGCCCCATCTGCTTTCTGGAATTCACAGTAATACCATTAGTTCATTTTCTGAGGATTTTTGGTCTCCTAAGAAACCAATAGTTACTTCTAATATTGTTTCTACGGATAATTCCAAACAGTGCCCAAGTCACTTGAATACACAGAGCTGTTTCACTTTTAAAAGCTCACTCGTCCCTAATTAAGCTGTTTAGTTGAATTTTCAAATTGGTTGGACTCCTTCAATATCTCTTGCAGCTTATTCCTTATATAGCTGTCACTCATTCTTAGAGGGCACATATTCACTGCAGACAGGAGGGTCATGGCTTTAGGGGAAAGACATTCCCTGCAACTCCTGACCTTCTGGGAATCGAATGCTCCCCATTGGTAGATTTTATGACAACTCAGTCCCACCTTTAGCCCTACTATATCCAAAACTCCTGTTTTCATTAATGAATTAATTAGAATTTTGTCTGGGAGAATGTTGTGACACCTCTTGTGATAATTGGAGACATCCTGGGGAGTTGCAGAACCAGAGTCAGGAATCTCTTGAGATATTTTCATCTGAAAACTGAGAAAATTGACATAAGAAAAATAAATGACATATGGTGTCTTAGGCAACTGGGGAAAAAACAGTATGTGTTGAAAAGCTAAGAGTGAAAGCACAAATAATTAATGATACAGAATTATCAGAACCCAGTTCTTTTGGTCATCTGAACAACTTAAGATGCAGGCTCAGGTCTCAGAGTTGTATATGGGCTGACCTTGTTCCAGAGAGAACGTACAGAGACTGGCTCTAGGAGGTATTAGGCAGTCAATTTGCCCTGAATATATAAGTGTTTCGGAGGCATAGTAGGGAAGGACCCTACTTTTCTGGCAGAGATGATGGAAAGATAGTTATTATTAACCTAGTGCTGCTTCACTTTTTCTCAAATGTAAATATGGATCTCCATTATTCATGGCAGTCCATTAGGGCTTATATTTCACTCCTCATGCCTCCACCATGGCACCAGCCAGAACCCCACACAGAATGAATAATTGTTAAACTGGAGCATGATTTGCAAAGCTGTACACTTTTTTTTATGGCTTCTGGCAAATGTCGCATAATTCTAACAATTTAGATTGTTTTGAGGGCTTTCTTTTGTTATGACCTCAACCTTGTAGTTGCCCACCAGATTTTCAGTCTAGGCCAAAAATCAAGTAATACAAGTCAGGCAATAAAGCTAACTTTGATGCTAAGGGAGAAAGGAAAGGGCACCATAACTCAAACCTATGGCTAGCCCCAATGGTCATTTGCTAGATATAAAATCCAGGAAAAACATAATCAGATGCTCAACTCACACCTGATGCTGGCCAGCCTCTCACGTCCTGCCCTATCCTCCTCTCTTACAAGGCTTGCTATTCCTGCATTTAGCCTGAGAGCACATTGGATAACAGAATAGATTAAGTTGTGTTTTATAATTATAAAAATTTTGGTTTAAAATTATAAAAAATCTTTACAGGAGATGAGAGCCCGTAAAATAAAAATTTTACAATAAAAAAGATCTTAGTGTCATCCACTCTAACTTCTGCATTTTACAGATGAGAAAATCAAAGTCAAGGGGAGAAGAGCGACTGGCCTAAGATAAAAAAAGCTGGTTAGATGGACTGCTACTGAGAAATAAAAAGAAGGAATAACGGACACCACAACAATGTGAACAGATTTCCAAGGAATTATGCTGAGTGAAAAAAGCCAGTCCCAAAAGGCTACATACCATATGATTTCATTTAAACAACTTTGTTGAAATGATTATAGAAATAGAGAACAGATTAGTGGTTCCAGGGTTTGAGAGAGGTAGGTAGGTGTCTCTATAAAAGGGCAACAAGATAAACTTTTGTGGTAATCAAGATGTTCTGTATCTTGACTACGCCGATATCAATATCCTAGTTGTGATACTGTACTACAGTTTTGAAAAATATTACTCATGGAAGAAACATATATAGAGGGTATGTGGAAATTTTCTGTATTATTTCTGGAAACCAAATGTGAATATGTAATTATTTCAAAATTAAAAGTTTAATTTTTTTAAAAAAGGCATGGTTCAAAAAAAAAAAAAAAACCCTGATTGTCACCTTTACAATCATTCATGAAAATATCCCATATCTTGATTAGATTGTGGTTATGAGGTTGTGTAAGTTTTTCAGTCTTATCCAACTGTATGCATTTTTCTCAATAAAAAAAGAAATGATGGCAAAACAGCAAATGTTTGCAGCAAACTATTGCTCCAACATTTGGACTTGAAATATGTGTAAACCTGTTTATAAAATGATATTTTCCTCTGACTTGGTTTCTTAGAACGAGTAAGCATCCTATTTGTATGCCACCACCAACAGCCAAAAAAATAAAAAAGCACGTTAGAGACAGAATGGGGTCTACAACATAGATATTGTGACGCTTAGTAGAGTACCTGTCCCATGGCCAAAAAAATTGCCTCAATGAGTTACACCCTACAGGGTGGCACCCTCCAAGTAAAATGGTAAGGTAGCCCTGGAATCAAACCAAAGGACACAACATGTGAATATGCAACCAAATGTCAGCAACCTTTCATAATGACTACAAAAATAGATGTCTGGTGAGCTTGAAGTTTGGGACTACTAAAGGCGGCAGTTTGCTCATGAAACTGACCTGAGAAATTTACCTTCAATTCATATAGGCTTGCTATCAGTATGTTGGTTGTGTTAACCAATTATTTGCACCAGTGCTTAGGCAGACATATAGTCAGAGGCTCCAGAATAGCTGGGAAAATGAGAAAGGGAAGCTCTTGAAGGCCCTGAAGGCATTTAATCTCAAGTGGGGGATCTTGCTGGCGATTTGTAGGTCATGGGAACCTTGCTCCTTTGCCTGGATGGCTGCTAAGTCCTCTGTTCTCTGTGCCCATTTGTGGCAATAAGTGTTTCAGTTTTCCTCCTACCCCTCACATCACTACCTCTTCATGATACCTGTGCCAGAATTTCTGCTGTAGTTCAAATATAAAGGGGCTGGTAGGGTGATCAACCCATTGTAGTTTGCCTGAGACTATCTCAGTTTTAGTACTAACTGTCACATGGCACAGGAACCCCTCTCAGTCCTAGACCTGTTAGAGACAATTGGTCACCCTAAGTGCTGGCCAAGGTTGGAGGTCACAAGGGAAGGCTGTATGCCACCAAAAGGTTTCCCACAGTGTCATTTCAGTTGATGAATTCACCCCAGTCCCAGCTTAGAAATAAGATGTTCACTCTCTACACTGAAAGTAGATCCATCTCAAAGGAAGACTCACAGCATCCCTGTTCGTTGAAACTGATGCATAAAGGCAAGTACCACTGTGACTAATTTACACATAAAGTTAAATACCACCGGAGGACTGGCTACAGCAGATCAGGAGATCAGGGCATTCTCTCCTCACAGGGAAGCTTCATGCAAAAACAAAATATTGGCAGAAAGTTTTCAGGCTAGCGGGGAATCAGAACAAGGGGTCCGTCTAAACTTTATGATCCATGACAGAGTCAGCTGAAACAGAGATAAAAGTGCAGGGGTGCATGCACACACGCACAGACATCACCTTTTCTCTCATGCAACCCAAAGGTAAGTTTCACTAAACACTTCTCACCCTTGCAACATACAATACTCTCTGATATTTTATATTTTATTTCATTTTATAAATGTCTGAGAAGCACTATGATCAAGTATGACAATCATATGTTCACAGCCTTTCTCCAAACAGATTAAATGGCAGTGGATTAGGTTTCTTTTACCTAATTTGTACTCACTTTCCCACTCAGTCTCCTTGTACACCCAGGTCCCTGTAGTTGAAGCTGTGTGTTGGAAGTCTGCAATCTGACATTTTAGATGCAGTTTTACCTCTAGCTTTATCCCTGCACATCGTGTGTGTGTGTGTGTTGTGTGTGTGTGTGTGTGTGTGTGTATCTTACTAATGTTCACAGAGACACATTCTTCCTGAGTTCTTGGGAAGCATGTCAATCTTACCCCCAAAAACATCCTACAATTATCAACTAATAATTCGTTTTCTAGAACTTGACAGGTAGCCAAGTGCTTTGTCATATTTTATTTATTTGCGTACCCATTTGTCTCATTCCATTCATGCTGCTATAACAAAATACTACAGACTGGGTCATTTATAAATAATAGACATTTATTTCTCACAGTTAAGGCTTCCCAAGATCAGGGCATCCGCAGATGTGGTGTTTGGTGAAGACTCACTCTCGGCTTCCAAGATTACACCTTGCTGCAGCGTCCTCCAGAGGCGGGATGAACACTATATTTTCACATGGCAGAAAAAAATGGAAGGGCCAGACACCTCTCTGAAACCTCTTTTATAAGGGCGTTACTCCCATTCACAAAGGTGGAGCCCTCATGACTTAATCACTTCCCAAAAGACCCCACTTCTTAATACCACCACAATGGGGATTAAATTCTAACAAGAATTTTGGAGGGGAACACATCCAAACAATGAAATAGGTCAAGCAAACATTATTGTTTTCAAATTTTAAACAGATATAGAAACTAAGATTCACAGAGATGAAGTGATTTGCCCAAATAACACATCCAGTGAATGACAGAGATTCTGTCTATTGCTAGGATCAGCACCAAGGCAGCAGGAGGAAGATATATGACTTTGTATTACTTGACCTCCATATAGGTATCTACCGTGGCACCTCTTTGGTCAGCCCTCGTCACATTTCTTGAAGGAATACCTACTTGTGCATCAGGAACTTGTTCTAAGGGGAAATGAGAGGAAAACCAGTATGTAGATATCCTTCATGATCCAGCCCCCTTTTCTATGTCAGCCATTCCTTTGTTGTCTCACCCTTACTCTCCTCTACTTCACCGCTTCTCTCCTGCCTCACCACTCAGTACTCTACCTTATTTCTCTCCCACTTCTCTCTCATCTGTCTCTTCATTTCCACTTTTTTCTTCTATTCTTATCAACCTGCTTTATTTATGGAACAAAGGTCAAGAACAGCACTTTCCAGTACCAAAGATGGTTCAAGCTCACTGCATACAATTATTGACTAATAACTTATGTTTCAAAGGCCACGTGGAACTTTCAAGATGTCCCAGAAGTAATAAATGCCATATGGACTGCTGGACTCATTTAATAAAGGCCAGCCAAGGTGGCATGCAAATCATTTAGTAAAATATCCTGAGCCACCCTCTCCCCTATCCCCTATTCTTGTCTATGATATCTGGTCATGTTCACTTCCTTCTTATTTAGCTTAGATCTGGGTCTTTAGGTTTCTAGTTTTCTCTATCAGAAGGGCCTCCCCTGGGGAGAGTTTGGTACTTCCCACCCTATCACTATGTCCAAGAGATAAGACAAAGCTTAATGTTCAACTCTATTCTCTTCTTGCTAACTGAATACACCCTAGGATTTAGTTTTTGCAACTTCTTTTGTGCTTTCCACCCTGGCTTTGTAGTACCACAGGATGCCTCCATTTATCTTGAGAAGAAATAAAGAACTAACAAAATCATGTGAGTTTTAACATATAAAGTCATATGACATTTTCAGGGGAGAAGAATGATGTCATCAATAAATATTGGGCCTCTGTCTATGTGGGTTTTACATCTGTGGATACAACCAACCATGAAATGAAAATATTCAGAAATAAAAAACATGGTTGTATCTGGACTCAACATGTATAGACTTTTTCTTGTCATTATTCCCTAAACAATACAGTATAACTATTTGCATAGCATTTACATTGTATCAGGTATTATAAGTAATCTCAAGATTATTTAAAGTATAATGGAGGATGTGAGTAGGTTATATGTAAATACTATACCATTTTATATAAGGGACTTGAGCATCCTTGGATTTTGGTATCCCGAGAGGGTCCTGGAACCAATCCTCCACTGGTACTGAGGGACATCTGTATATTAGTACATTGCAATTTCAAACTGCTTAGGAAATGCTCTTTTAGAGCATGACTATAATATTTGTAGGCTAGGGAATGTTGTATGGTGAATCTGAACATATATTTATAATAATTAAGTGAAAATGTGTGTGTGTGGAAAATATGCACACTGTGTACTAATATATTTGGGGCCTTTTGAGAGCCAGGAAGCGTTGTCAGTGTGCATTTTTACATTGTTAAAGGATTGATTAACAACTTTTTTAATGCCCCAAACAGAAAGAACCCAGATTTTGCTTTCTAAATCGTGATATCATCTGAAATGCAAGTTACGCATTCTCAGGTAAGCTCCTTTCCTAGTGTGGTGTCAGTTCACTAAAGAAAAGACCAGTCTCAGGCTAGAGGACACTTGCATTTTCTGCTCCTGACCTTGAATCAAGCTTTTTTTTTTTCTTTTTTCCAAGGAGTCCTAGTTCATTTTACTGGAGAATGGTATTTAAAAATCAAGATCTAGGCACTAGGTGGGATTATTTCTATTGATTATGCATATTTGAATTCACACTGATATCTTTAATTCCAATCCATTACAATAAAGTCCATTATAGATTTCTCCCTATGAATTAATACCTCCTTTATCCACCAGTGAGAAACCTAGCTCCAATTATCTTCAATATATTTACTTAAAGGATCAATTCCCTAGTATATAACCAATCTTACCATCAAAACTTCTGCCCACACCCAAATACCCTTCTTAACTTACTCAGAGTCTGATACCTCATTCTGAGCTGGCACTACTCCTCCATATGATTACCCCTCTTATCCCTAAAGCTTCCAACACTACCTTTGCAGAAGACTTTTGGTGGGAGGGAGGGAGGGAGGGAGGGAGGAAGGGTTCATTTTTTTCATGGATTTTTAATAGAATTCTGCATTGATTTATTTCTTCTCTTAGCACTTTAAGATTTCGACTCTATGTCTTCTATGTTTCTAATGAGAGATCAGGCATTACTTGAATTATTGTAATGTGTTAAATGTGTCTTTTCTGTCTGGCTGTCTTCCACATTCTCTTTTTTTTTTAATCTTTGGTTTTCAGCAGTTTGGCTATAATATGCCTGGGTGTGGTTTTCTTTGTATTTATTCTTTCTAGGGTTCATTGAGCTTAGATGCATGGGTTTAAACATTTCACCAAATTTAGGAAAAAATGTTATAGAGATTCTGGATCATATCACCTTCTTTGAAAAGTGATCATTTTTATTCTAGCGGGCTGGACTCAAATTCAAAACACTTTCTGTCAATGAGCTGCAGCTGAATCTCTCAGATATTGCCTGTTCCTAGGAATCCTGGAATCTCACTTACATGCAGTATTTGGACAGAGCTTATATGCAGATTTCATCTCTCTCTTCTGTGGCTTTCTTCTTTAGGATAAGCCCTCCCAGTTTCCCACTGGTCAAGTAGTACAAAACTCCATCCTTAAACTCCTCAAGCAGATGAGATTGTGGTTTTTCTGCTTGAGTTTTAGCAGCCTAATAATGGACAGACTGAGGACTGCCCTCAGGCAAAAAGTCTTATAAATGCAAATGTAACCAAATGCAGTATTTGCCTTTCAAGGGTAAATTTCTGTCTACTTTCTTCCTACTTTTTAAAAATTTTACATGCCTTCGAAATACTTTTTAAAATATATATTTCCAGTTTTTCATTGTTATCTATGGGATTAGTAGTTGTATACAAGTGATACTGCCATTGACTGAACAGAACCCTTTTGTTTTTATAGCATTTTTCAAATCCTTTCATTTTGTGGCATTTGCTTGACATAATTTATTCATGTGTTTATTTATCTGGATTTTATTTTATAGATACATTTATTTCCAATACTAATTATTTCGATCTATTATATGTCTTATGTCTTAATTTTTGCTTTTTAAAAAATATAGCTCCTCCTTTCTTTCTGAATTTTTAGATGGTTTACATTTTATTTGCCCTACTCTGAACTAAAATAAACAAGTATACATATCCTTCCCCTAACAAAGTAAAATGTTCAGGTTTATCTTCTCTCTCTGTCCTTTGATGCAAGAACTATACTTTTGAAACTTGTAATTAATGCTTATTTTGACTGAAGAATTCTTAGTAATTGCCCTGCTTAGCATTGCTTCTTGGACCCCACTATCTCTTCCTGTATTAATTTTTCTTCTTGCCAGAATACATTTTTTATTGTTTCAGAATGGATTCATTGTCAGTAGCACTCCTGAGTCACAATATTAATATTGTTGTCACATGTGATTGATATTTTAACTTGATGAAAATTTCTACTGTCAAATTGACTTTTCTTTGAACTTTGAAGATACTGCTCAGCTATCTTGAATTCATAGTTTCTGATGCATATTCTAATTATCAAGATAATTTTTGTTTTTTTTATGTATTTTATACCCACTCAATCTTCTAGGCTTTTCTCCTTAATAGTGATGTCCTGAAAATTCATTATGTCATGTCTAAACATGTATGTATGTGTGCACGTGTGTATTTGCAAGGGTGGGAAAAGTATCATTCAAATTTTTTTTTTTTGGCTCAGTAGTTGGTTGGGCCGTTTAATCTGTAGACCATTCTTTATTTACCATAGGAAAATCCTCACATATTGAATCATATTTCCATTATCTCTAATGCCTCCTTCTAGAAATATGTATGAATACTTATGAATATCTAGATCTGCTATGCAGCTCTTCTGTGGAGATTTTTTAATAATCATTACTTTTAATATCTAAGATTGCAGTTTTTTTGTTTTTTTTTTTTTGAGGCGGAGTCTCACTCTGTCGCCCAGGCTGGAGTGCAGTGGCGCGATCTTGGCTCACTGCAAGCTCCGCCTCCCGGGTTCAAGCCATTCTCCTGCCTCAGCCTCCCGAGTAGCTGGGACTACAGGCGCCCGCCACCACACCCGGCTAATTTTTTGTATTTTTAGTAGAGACGGGGTTTCACCATGTTGGCCAGGATGGTCTTGATCTCCTGACCTTGTGATCCGCCCGCCTCGGCCTCCCAAAGTCCTAGGATTACAGGCATGAGCCACCGCGCCCGGCCTGCAGTTTGTTTCTTTTTGGTAACATTCTTTCTCTTCATAGGTACAAGTCCTTTTTTACTCTCTAAGGACACAAATTAAGTTTTAAAACCTTGTCCTATTTGCTCTTTTAATTATGTTTTCTTGGGTATAAATTCTTTCATTTACTGGGTTTGTTATCTCCCATTCATAATTGGCTTTTATTCCATTTGCAGAAATTTGGGCTTGTATACTCAACTTTGTAATCAAAATCTCTTGACAAGCACTGGATAGTATTTTCAATGCATTTTAAGTAAGACTGGAGGATGGATAGGTGAACTGCCAGGTACTCAGCCTCAGCAGCTTTTCTTCCGTGATTGGTTTCCCTGTTCCTCTCAGGGGCACCATTTTATTCTTTTATTCAAGCTACCATTCTCATTAATCCTGCCAAGAGACTGACAGATACTTCCCCTTACTAATGTGTGGCCCAGTTCATGGGGGTGAGAAATATGCAGGCATAACACTGACTATTCTTGCTGTTGGACCTCACTAACTGCCCTGCCAGTACCAACTCCTTTCTGCTCCAGGTATCAAAGACATCTGAAAATAAAAAGCTCTTAGTGTTGTTCTCCCCTTTTGATATAGGCCTCAATTCCAAGCATTCGGATGTATTGTTTCCTTTTTCAATAAAATTGCCTGAGTTTTCCATCTTTCAGAACTTTCTCAGAGTTTCTAGTTTGCCAAGCTTTCCCTTTTTGTTTTTACGCTTGATCATGCATTTATTAATTTATATTTTTTAAAAAATCATTTATAGCGATTCCATTAAGGTGAGGGAGGTTATGTGTTCAGTATGGAGTATTGAAAAAAATTCTTTTTTGTTTTTTAAATCCATTTGGGGAGTACTGACATCTCTATCAATTCTGAGTCTTCCTGTCTGTCCATGAATAGAGTATATCTTTCCATTTATAAGTAACTACTTTGACCTCTTTCATTAGCATTTTATAGTTTACAGCATATAAAATTCAATATATGTTTTCTTAGATTGACACCTGTGTTTTTTTTGGTGTCCAAGTGTTCATTGCTAGTATGTAGATATACACTTCCTATTTATTATTAAATTTTAAATTTTTGTGGGTACATAGTGGGTCCATATATTTATGAGGTGTAGAAGATATTTTGATACAGGCATACAATGTGTAATGATCACATCAGGGTACATGGAGTGGCCATCTCCCTCAAGCATTTATGCTCTGTGTCACAAACAATTATATTCATTCAGTTATTTTTAAATGTACAATTACATTATTATTGACTACAGTCACCCTGCTGTGCTATCAAATACTAGATCTTACTCATTCTATTTTTTGTAGCCATTAACCATCTCCACTTCCCCCGTACCATCACCCCACCACCCTTTCCAGCCTCTGGTAATCATCATTCTACTCTTATATCTATGAGTTCATTTGTTTTAATTTTTAGCTTGCACAAATAAGTGACAACATGTGAAGCTTGCCTTTCTGTAGCTGGCTTATTTCACTTAACATAATGACCTCCAGTTCCACACACGTTGTTGCAAATGACTGGATCTCATTCTTTTTTATGGCAGAACAGTACTCCACTGGGTATATGGACTCCATTTTCTTTTTTTATTATTATTATACTTTAAGTTTGGGGATACATGTGCAGAATGTGCAGGTTTGTTACATAGGTATGGTATACAAGTGTCATGGTGGTTGCTGCACCCATCAACCCATCATCTACATTAGGTATTTCTCCTAATGCTATCCCTCCCCTAGCCCCCCAGCCCCTGACAGGCCCCGGTGTGTGATGTTCCCCTCCTTGGGTCCATGTGTTCTCATTGTACAACTCCCACTTATGAGTTAGAACATGTGGTGTTTGGTTTTCTGTTCCTGTTTTAGTTTGCTGAGAATGATGGTTGCCAGCTTCATCCATGTCCCTGCAAAGGACATGAGCTCATCCTTTTATATGGCTGCATAGTATTCCATGGTGTATATGTGCCACATTTTCTTAATCCAGTCTATCACTGATGGACTTTTGGGTTGGTTCCAAGTCTTTGCTATTGTGAATAGTGCCGCAATAAACTTACGTGTGCATATGTCTTTATAGCAGAATGATTATAATCCTTTGGGTATATGCCCAGTAATGGGACTGCTGGGTCAAATGGTATTTCTGGTTCTAGATCCTTAAGGAATCGCCACAGTGTTTTCCACAATAGTTGAACTAATTTACACTCCCACCAACAATGAGAAAGCATTCCTATTTCTCCACATCCTCTCCAGCATGTTTCCTGACTTTTTAATGATCACCATTCTAAGTGGCATGAGATGGTATCTCATTGTGGTTTTGATTTGCATTTCTCTAATGACCAGTGATGATGAGGTTTTTTTCATATATTTGTTGGCTGCATAAATATCTTCTGAGAAGCATCTGTTCATATCCTTCGCCCACTTTTTGATGGGTTTTTTTTTTTTTGCCTTGTAAATTTGTTTAAGTTCCTTGTAGATTCTGGATATTAGCCCTTTGTAAGATGAATAGATTGCAAAATTTTCTCCCATTCTGTAGGTTGCCTGTTCACTCTGATAATAGGTTCTTTTGCTGTGCAGAAGCTCTTTAGTTTAATTAGATCCCATTTGTCAATTTTAGCTTTTGTTGCCATTGCTTTTGGTGTTTTAGTTATGAAGTCTTTGCCCATGCCTATGTCCTGAATGGTATTGCCTAGGTTTTCTTCCAGGGTTTTTAGGGTTTTAGGTCTTACTTTCAAATCTTTAATCCATCTTGAGTTAATTTTTGTATAAGGTGTAAGGAAGGGGTCCAGTTTCAGTTTTCTACAAATGGCTAGCCAGTTTTCCCAACACCATTTATTTAATAGGGAATCCTTTCCCCATTGCTTGTTTTTGTCAGGTTTGTCAAAGATCAGATGGTTGTAGATGTATGGTGTTATTTCTGATGCCTCTGTTCTGTTCTGTTCCATTGGTCTAGTTATCTGTTTTGGTACCAGTACCATGCGGTTTTGGTTACTGTAGCCTTGTAGTATAGTTTGAAGTCAGGTAGCGTGAGGCCTCTAGCTTTGTTCTTTTTGCTTAGGATTGTCTAGGCTATACGGGCTCTTTTTTGGTTCCATATGAAATTTAGTTTTTTTCTAATTCTGTGAAGAAAGTCAATGGTAGCTTGATGGGGATAGCATTGAATCTATAAATTACTTTGGGCAGTATGGCCATTTTCACAATATTCATTCTTCCTATCCATGAGCATGGAATGTTTTTCCATTTGTTTGTGTTCTCTCTTATTTCCTTGAGCAGTGGTTTCTAGTTCTCCTTGAAGAGGTCCTTCGCATCCCTTTTAAGTTGTATTCCTAGGTATTTTATTCTCTTTGTAGCAATCGTGAATGGGAGTTCACTCATGATTTGGCTCTCTGTTGGTCTACTATTGGTGTGTAGGAATGCTCGTGATTTTTGCACATTTATTTTGTATCCTGAGACTTTGCTGAGGTTGCTTATCAGCTTAAGGAGATTTTGGGTTGAGATGATGGGGTTTTCTAAATACACAGTCATGTCATCTGCAAACAGAGACAATTTGACTTCCTCTCTTCCTATTTGAATATGCATTACTTCTTTCTCTTGCCTGATTGCCCTGGCCAGAACTTCCAATACTATGTTGAATAGGAGTGGTGAGAGAGGGCATCCTTGTCTTCTGGCAGTTTTCAAAGGGAATGCTTCCAGCTTTTGCCCATTCGGTATGATATTGGCTATGGGTTTGTCATAAATAGCTCTTATTATTTTGAGATATGTTCCATCAATACCTAGCTTATTGACAGTTTTTAGCATGAAGGGGTGTTGAATTTTATTGAAGGCCTTTTCTGCATCTATTGAGATAATCATGTGGTTTTTGTCATTGGTTCTGTTTATGTGATGGATTACATTTATTGATTTGCATATGTTGAACCAGCATTGCATCCCAGGGATGAAGCTGACTTGATCGTGGTGGATAAGCTTTTTGATGTGCTGCTGGATTCAGTTTACCAGTATTTCACTGAGGATTTTTGAAACGATGTTCATCAGGGATATTGGCCTGAAATTGTCTTTTTTTGTTGTGTCTCTGCCAGGTTTTGGTATCAAGATGATGCTGACCTCATCAAATGAGTTAAGGAGGAGTCCCTTTTTATATATTGTTTGGAATCAATTCAGAAGGAACGGTACCAGCTCCTCTTTGTACCTCTGGTAGAATTCGGCCATGAATCCATCTGGTCCTGGGCGTTTTTTGGTTGGTAGGCTATTAATTACTGCCTCAATTTCAGAACTTGTTATTGGTGTATTCAGAGATTTGACTTCTCCCTGGTTTAGTCTTAAGAGGGTGTATGTTTCCAGGAATTTATCCATTTTTTCTAGATTTTCGAGTTTATTTGTGTGGAGGTGTTTATAGTATTCTCTGATGGTAGTTTGTATTTCTGTGGGATCAGTGGTGATCTCCCCTTTATCATTTTTTATTGTGTCTGTTTGATTCTTCTCTCTTTTCTTCTTTATTAATCTGGTTAGCAGTCTATCTATTTTGTAATCTTTTCCAAAAACCAGCTCCTGGATTCACTGATTTTTTTAAGGGTTTCTTGTGTATCTATCTCCTTCAGTTCTACTCTGATCTTAGTTATTTCTTGTCTTCTGCTACCTTTTGAATTTGTTTGCTCTTGCTTCTCTCGTTCTTTTAATTGTGATGTAAGGGTGTCAATTTTAGATCTTTCCTGCCTTCTCTTGTGGGCATTTAGTGCTATAAATTTCCCTCTAAACACTGCTTTAGCTGTGTCCCAGAGATTCTGATACATTGTAGTTGTGCAGTTTTGAGTGAGTTTCTTAATCCTGAGTTCTAATTTGATTGCACTGTGGTCTGAGAGACTGTTTGTTATGATTTCCATTCTTTTGCATTTGCTGAGGAGTGTTTTACTTTCAATTATATGGTCAGTTTTAGAGTAAGTGTGATGTGGTGCTGAGAAGAATGTATATTCTGTTGTTTTGGGGTGGTGAGTTCTTTAGATGTCTATTAGGTCCACTTGGTCCAGAGCTGAGTTCAAGTCCTGAATATCCTTGTTAATTTTCTATCCTGTTGATCTGTCTAATGTTGACAGTGGGGTGTTAAACTCTCCTACTATTATTGTGTGGGAGTCTGAGTCTCTTTGTAGTCTCTAAGAACTTGCTTTATGAATCTAGGTGCTCCTGTTTTGGGTGCATATATATATATATTTAGAATAGTTAGCTCTTCTTGTTGCATTGATCACTTTACCATTATGTAATGCCCTTCTTTGTGTTTTTTGATCTTTGTTGGTTTAAAGTCTGTTTTATCAGAGACTACGATTGTAACCCCTGCTATTTTTTGCCTTCCATTTGCTCGGTAAATCTTCCTCCATCCCTTCATTTTGAGCCTATGTGTGTCTTTGCACATGAGATAGGTCTCCTGAATACAGCACACTGATGGGTTTTGACTCTTTATCCAATTTGCCAGTCTGTGTCTTTTAATTGGGGCCTTCACCCTGTTTACATTTAAGGTTAATATTTTTATGTGTGAATTTGATCCTGTCATTATGATACTAGTTGATTATTTTGCCTATTAGTTGATGCAGTTTCTTCATAGTGTCGATGGTCTTTACAATTTGGTATGTTTTTGCAGTGGCTGGTACCAGTTGTTCCTTTCCATATTTAGTGCTTCCTTCAGGAGCTCTTGTAAGGCAGGCCTGGTGGTGACAAAAATCTCTCAGCATTTGCTTGTCTGTAAAGGATTTTATTTTTCCTTCACCTATGAAGCTTAGTTTGGCTGGATATGAAATTCTGGGTTGAAAATTCTTTTCTTTAAGAATGTTGAATATTGGCCCCCTACTATCTTCTGGCTTGTAGGGTTTCTGCAGAGAGATCCTCTGTTAGTCTGATGGGCTTCCCTTTGTGGATAACATGACCTTTCTCTCTGGTTGCCCTTAACATGTTTTCCTTCATTTCAACCTTGTGTCTTGGGGTTGCTCTTATCAAGTAGTATCTTTGTGGTGTTCTCTGTATTTCCTGAATTTGAATGTTGGCCTGTCTTGCTAGGTTGGCGAAGTTCTCCTGCTTAATATCCTGAAGAGTGCTTTCCAACTTGGTTTTATTCTCCCCATCACTTTCAGGTACACCAATCAAATGTAGATTTGGTCTTTTCACATAGTCCCATATTTCTTGGGGGCTTTGTTCATTTCTTTTCATTCATTTTTCTTTGATCTTGTCTTTACACTTTATTTCATTAAGTTGACCTTCAATCTCTGATATCCTTTCTTCTGCTTCATCGATTTGGCTATCGATACTTGTGAATGCTTCATGAAGTTCTTGTGCTTTGTTTTTCAGCTCCATCAGGTCATTTATGTTTTCCTCTAAACTGGTTATTCTAGTTAGCAATTCCTCTAACCTTTTTTCAAAGTTCTTAGCTTCCTTGCATTGAGTTAGAACATGCTTCTTTAGCTCGGAGGAGTTTGTTATTACCCACCTTCTGAATCCTACTTCTGTTCAAACTCATTATCCATCCAGTTTTGCTCCCTTGCTGGCGAGGAGTTTTGATCCTTTGGAGGAGAAGAGGCGTTCTGGTTTTTGGAATTTTCAGCCTTTTTGTGCTGGTTTTTCCTCATCTTTGTGGATTTATCTACCTTTAGTCTTTGATGTTGGTGACTTTCGGATGGGGTTTTTGTGTGGACGTCCTTTTTGTTGATGTTGATGCTATTCCTCTCTGTTTGTTAGTTTTCCTTCTAATAGTCAGGCCCCTCTGCTGCAGGTCTGCTGGTGTTTGCTGGAAGTCCACTCCAGACACTATTTGCCTGGGTATCACCAGCGAAGGGTGCAGAACAGCAAGGATTGCTGCCTGTTCCTTCCTCTGGAAACTTTGTCCCAGGGGGCACCCACCAGATGCCAGCCGGAGCTCTTCTGTATGAGGTTTCTGTTGACCCCTGCTGGGAGTTGTCTCCCAGTCAGGAGGCACAGGAGTCAGGGACCCACTTGAAGAGGCAGTCTGTCCCTTAGCAGAGCTCGAGTGCTATGCTTGGAGATCCACTGGCAGGCAGGAATGTTTAAGTCTGCTGAAGCTGTGCTCATAGCAGCCCCGTTCCCCAGGTGCTCTGTCCCAGGGGGATGGGAGTTTTATCTATAAGCCCCTGACTGGGGCTGCTGCCTCTCTTTCCAAAATTCTTTTTTTTTTTTCCTTTTTTGAGACTGGGTCTTGCTCTGTCACCCATGCTAGAGCACAGTGGCGCTATCTCAACTCACTGCAACCTCTGCCTCCCAGGTTCAAGCAGTTCTCCTTCCTCAGCCTCCCAAGTAGGTGGGATGACAGGCATGCACCACCACACCTGGCTAATTTTTGTATTTTTAGTAGAGACGGGGTTTCGCAATGTTGCCCAGGCTGAGTTTTGAAAAAAATTCTTAATCCCTTTTTTCCCTCCAGTGTTAATATACTTATGCCATATAACATTTAATATTGTATAATATTAACTGATGTGGGAGTAAGAATCACTTAATAGAAACTGTTTTTTAAAAGGAATCTTTGTATCTGTGTCTTCAAAAAAGGCATATTAATCATTTTCTCAAATGCTAATATATCACAAGAAAGTCATTCCCCTTTTGGGTCACAAGTTAATTTTTGTTGCTAATAATTTAATGTAATGAGTTAATGCTACCAGTACAGTAAGCACTACTTAATTGTTATAATTAATTGAAGCTGAACATAATTATTACATAATCAGGCAAGGTACATTTTGAGATGTTGTTTCATTGATTTTTCATGGTGGTTTCTCATTCCCTGAACTTAATGATAAAATTGGACAATTCACAGGGTACCTCTTAGCAATTAGTTCCAATTAGCTGGATTCAAATTCTATCATGAGTCATGTACCTTGTTTCTTTAGTTATATCCCTCCAGTGTGGTCTGAAGAGCTTAAGAACACATACCAGTTAATTAAGAAAATCATATTTAATTACCAGTATACACTTCCCAATAATTATAATTTTGTCATTTATTTAAAAATATTTAGTGAATACAAAGCAGTATGTGTATCATATAAAATATTAATAAGTTTTTGTGTACTATCAAGCTGAGAAATTTAACATTGCCCGTAATTTGAAGTACTCTGTTTAAACCATCCTGACTCTTACTTCCTTTTTCTCCTAAGGTAATCATTATCCAAATTTAGTGTTTGTATTATTATGTTGTTTCTCTTTAAAATTTTGTGGCACATGTGAACATACACATGCATTTATAAAATGCAAATGGTCAATTAAGCTGGGTTTTGAAGTTCTTAAAATTGGTATCATATTACAACTATTATTCTACAATTTGCTTTCTTATTCAATGTTATGTTTTTATGATTAATCCATGTTGATTCATTTAGTAGCACGTTGTTCATTTTCACTCTTGTTAATGTTCCAGTCTATTATTATTCCAGAATTCTCTTAACCATTCTCCCATACTAGGCATTTGTATTATTTTGTTGTTTTTGCCATTCTTGGTTTTGTTTTGTTTGTATTTTTTCTATTACAAAAATGTGGCAAAACACATTTTTATGTTTCCCGTGTGCAGATGGAAGAAATTCTCTAGGATAATAGCAAAAAGTAGAATATCTGGGTTGCAGGTTAGACTATCTTTAAAATAAGTAATGCCAAATTGTTTTCTAAAGTATTGACTTATCATTTCATTATGTATATTTCTATCAGATATCATGTTCCATACCTTAAATATATACAGCTTAAAAAAACAAAGTACTGATTCTTAATTCCACTAGTAATGTGTAAGCTTTCCCTTGACTCATATTCATATCACTTGGTATTGTCAGACTTAAAAATTTTCGCCTATCTGGTTGTTTTAATACCTTGGGCTGCCATGACAAAATATCATAGACTAGGTGGCTTAAACAACAAAAATTTATTTTCTCACTATTCTGGAGGCTATAAGTCTGAGGTCAAGCTGCTGGCATGGTCAGGTTCTGGTGAGGGCTCTCTTCCTGGATGGCAGATGGCCACCTTCTTGCTGTGTCCTAACATGGCAGAGTGAAAGAGAGTGCCAGCTCTCCTATATCTCTTCTTGTAAGGAAACAAATCCTATTGGATTAGGGTCCTAACATTATGAATTAATTTAACCTTAATTACTTTCTTACTTCAAATACAATCACATTGAGATTTAGGGCTTCAACATATCAATTTGGGAGGGAAGAGGCACAATTCAGTCAATAGCATTGGTGGAATAAAGAGACATTGTATTTTTTTCTTTAAATTTCTCTGACATGTAATGACATCAAGCATGTTTTCATACGTTTATTGGTCATGGAGGTTTCTTATTTCTATAAATGTTTTTGGCCATTTTTCCTTGGTTTGCTTCTATTTTTTATATGGATTTTAATTTCTTACTGTATTTTGGATACTAATTCTCTGTTGGTCATGTAAGTTGCAAATATTTCCTCATAGTTTATGGCTTACTTTTTCAATTTCTTCATGTCATATTGTAAAGACCAGAAGTTTTTAAAAACAATTTTTAATGTAGTCACATTTATCAATTATTTCATTAATAGTTTGTATGCATAGTTTATAAAATTCTTTTCTACTCAAAACTCATAAAAATATTAACCTCTTTTCTTCCAGAAATGTCAAAATTTTGCTTTCTTTGGTTAAGTTTTAAAGCTACATAAAAACTGATTGTTGGATGATCTGTGATTAGGATCTAAATTCATTTTTATGGAATAATTAATTATCAGAGCACTGTTTATCAAGAAGTTCATTCATTCTCCACTGATTTGAAATGGTGTCTCTGTATCTCTTTCTGGACTCTCCTGTTTCATTGGTCTGTTTTTTTCTATCTCTGCATGAATGCCTCATTGTTCTAATTATTATACCTTTGACTTTATTATATAGTGATATCTCCCTTAGCAAATAAGCCCACCCTATCATTTCCTCATGAATTTATAGACAAGTCTGACTCTTTTCTCTTCCATATACATTTTTGAATTCTTTAAAAACTCTGTCAAGATAGTTATTGAACTTGCATTGATTCTACAGATCAATTTGGATAGAAATGGTATATTTACATTATTTTGACTTTCTAACCATAAACATTTGTTTGGGTGTTACTTAATGATTTTTAATAAGTTCCCCAATTTTTTTCATAAACATTTATGTTTAGACATCATGACATGCTTCTGATTCCAGGTCTGTAACCTACATCAGGGAGACCAGAAGTTGGGCTGCTTGGCAATACTATGAAAAACAAAAACAAAAACCTGCATCTAGGTGGGCAGTGCTTTGGGCACCAACATACAAGGTCTTCCCAATAGTTTCTCAGTTACCCCACCCACTAAAAAACTAGTGAAGGAGCTCTAGACAAAAAGAACTCCAATCTTGGTTTTGTAATTAAATCATTCTATCTTTAGGCTACTTTACCTCTTTGAGCCTCAGTTTACCATCTGAAAAATGAAATGAAGGGTAATCTTCAAAGTCTTTCAGTCTAACATTACAGAAATTTTGTTCAAAGAAAATTCACAATAAAGAGCAGAACTAACAGGGTCACAGAACTGTTGAGGTTGTCTTCTGACTTACCTTTGTTTGTAGTAACAAGCAACTCCTGAGTTTACAGTGGTTTACAGGAACAAACCTTTATTTCCTGTTCGCCTTACAAGTCACTAACTGTGGGATGGCTGTGGCTGCTGTAGCTCTGATGAGCTCTGCATCCCTTGGAACTGAATCCTGGAACTCACTCTGGGAAATGCTGCCCAAAAGCACTATTTCCTAACCTAATAGTTTTGACATGATTTGTCAAAATCAAAATTATGTTAGCTATAATGTATTTTTTTCTGCATATAAAGGCAATATATGCTTATTTAAGAACATTTAGAAACCATAACAAATGTAAGAAGATAATGCAAGTGACCTGTAAATATAACACCTAGAGATAATATTAACTTTTTGATATTTTTCCTTTCAGTTTTTACCTTTGTGTCAATGGATATATATAATTTTCAATAAAATCAAGATTATATTATGCAAGTCATTTTGTAACCTTATAACAAAACCCAACATATATTATAATCATATATTTCTTTGTCATTTAATGAGCTTTAAAAATAGGAATTATATGGTTACATAAAATCCTATAATATGAATGTTCCATAATTTGAGTGTTTTCTTTTCTATTTATTTACTTTAAGGCTACAATTAATATTATTACAAATAAATCAGAATATTGATAATTTATTACATCATTAGAAAAGATTTCTGGAAGAGTAATATGAATTCTTGCCTGAGGGTGAGTTTATTTCAAACTCACCACATAATTCTGACATCTCACTGTGAGAAAGGATAAATATATTTGCAGTTTAAATCACATGACCATGAGTTATCTGACTGTTGAGGGCAAATTCAAAGGCAGGCTATGTTCTATTGACTAGGAGGTAGGGAATTTAGTTGGGGGAGATACGTAGTTAAGTAATGTAGGAAGAGGCTTTATATTATGGAGTGTCCATTTTATGCCTTTTGCCTTTATGCAACAGGAACTGTTCCTGTTTCTGAGCCCTCTTCTCTACCTTCCTGTTAGCACTAAGTTCTACCATTGCCTTGGCCTTTGCATCAATATTTATGCCATCTGAACAATCAGTCACATGTCCTCCATGGGTACACATATATGATTTCTTCATTTTCCATACACATATACACACACACACACACACCAAATTTTAATTATTCTTACACATCTAATCACCTGAAGCATTTCTTATGGCAACCAGCATGGAGTATATCAGCTTATCTATGCAGGACTAGTCTTTTACTGTATTTGTTCTTAGTAAGTGAGACTCAGTTAAGAGGATATTTAGTTTGTAGGCCACTTGCCTTTTAGAAAGCTTGACAAGGACACTGCAGCTTATCTTGACACCATATGTAGAACTAGATCTGCAGGAAACAATTGAGCAGTGGCCATAGGTGGGAGCAATGCAGCTGGGAAAGCCTTCTCTCAAGATCAGGTCCACATAGTGAAATACTTACTACCAGAGAGGGCAGAATCCTGGTTGACTTCATCTGGTTAGGTAAAATACATTTATTACAAATATTTATTTTATTAAGCACTTACTTTAGGGCTTACTATACTTTAGGCACTGTTCTAAGACTTTACAAATATCATCTCATTTGATCTTTACAACCCTATGAGGTAAGTGCTCATTTAATTATCTCCATTTTATAGTCTAGGAAACTAAGGCACAAAGAATATGAGCAATTTTTTAAAGAACAGCCAGCAATTCAACCAAAAGAGGTGGCCCCAAAGCCCAGGCTTTGTACCAGCCAGTATGTTAGGACTGGGTGAGATCGAATTACTTTAACAAAATCGTTAACAATGACCTCACTAAGTGCACAGATTAGCATGGAGCTAGAACTTAAAAGCTGAGCAAAATGATGTAAAATATTGTAACCAGGTCTAAAATAAAGAGACATATGTGAAGGTTGTGAGGACTAAAGATGAAGAAGCTAGTAGTGCAGTGAATTAATAAAACTATAAATTCTGTGGGGAGCATGTGGCAAGGCTATAGAAGAGAGATAACATTTGAGCTGGTTCTTAAGAATGGGTAAGACATGAAGGACTTACATGAGAGGGTGGAATTCTAGTGTTCAAACCACTGGTCAAACTGGAAGGGAAAACAGTCTGCCAAACTATCTATATTAAGAGCTTGGAATGTATCACTGGGCACACAACATGGGTACATTTCCCACATCCCTAATAGTTACATGTAGCCATATGACTAATTGAATGTGGACAGAAGTGTACTCCATTTCTAGCCCTGGCTCATAAAAAGCTGCCATGCGATGCTTTACATTATCTCTTCCCTTACCTATCAGTGGGGTGCAGAAGATCCAAGAGAGGCTAGGACTCTGAAGATGCAAGCGATGACAGAGCCACAGTTGAAGGAAGCCTGGATCTCTGAGTCACCCTAGGAAGGCTGCCCACGAGTCATAAACACCTACATCATACTTCATATACATAAGAGCTAAACATTTTATTAGGTAAAGCTACCAAGATTAGGGAATTTGTTACAGTAACTAGGATTTCTTTTTACGCTAAGTAATAAAAAATCATTCATTTACAACTTAAGTTCTTATCTCCCTATTGCCCAGTGGGTCAAGGGTTTATGAATTTTACAAAGAAAATGTAAGCTGTTTTATGAAGAAAAATATGGAAGGACACACATGCTATTAATATGGGTTGTGTGTGGGGGGTGGAATTAGAGGAAGCTGACCCTTATAAGGGCAGGAGAGGGAGAGAGGAGAAGTAAACAGTGAAAGCTAATGAAAATAAGACATAAAACAGGTGCTGAAAAACCGCCGCTTGTAGGCCAAATCCAGTCTACCATCCGTTTTTACAAATAAAGTTTTGTTGAAACACAGCCATGCTCATTCATTTATGTTTGTCTACAGCTACTTTGGCACTACAATGGCAGAGTTAAGTAGTTGCAACAGAGACCTTATGGTCCACAGAACTGGAAATATTTTGGCCCTTTATAGAAAAAGTTGGCTGACTATGGCCTAAAAAATATGTTTATATTCACATTCATGCATATAGGAAAAATTACATGTATGTATGGTATATTCATAAATATGTTTAAATAAAAATTAATGACAAAAAGTAAAGCTATATTTTCTTTGTACTTCTGAGGAATAGTTTACTTAAACTGTAGCTCATATCATGGAAGTTGCAAATATGTAAACAGATTGCACTACTTTTCAAGGCAGTGATTACTTTTCCAGTGGTTCATTCAATCCTGCAAATCTCACAGGTCTTCATGCTGCCTTTGTGTGGCATTTGTCCTGAGGTTGTTAGCCCATAAGCCCCTTTTTCACATTCCTACATCTTGCTCCTACAACGCTTATGTTCTGCCAACTAGCTCCAAGCATGAGTTAGACAATGAAGTTTTTCTATTTAAGTAGCTCTTCTCAGTAAATACATTCCAGAAACATTAGACACAGTAATTTTCCTCAGTAATTCTTCTCCTGACATTCTTTCTTCAAGTAGCTTCAAAAGCACTTATGTCCTGATGTGGGAAAAAAAAAAACAAAAAAAAACCCAAACCTAAGAAAGGTCTCCAGAACTTTCAGAGTTGGGATAAGATATATCACAATCCAAGAACCTCTTATTACAGATGTCCAGTGGGTTAAAGAAGTCATGTAAGAGGCTCGATTTACAGCATTATGAAAAAGGCATTTTTCTCCATCTCTCTGTGAGCCCAAAGGTAGAATCCTGAATATAATTGCCAAGTATGAGCAATGATTTGAAAAATCAGTGGCACCATGCCTTTTCTATATATCAATTTCTGTGTTAAATTGTTTGGCTTGTAGTTACAGTCACAAAGCGCTTAATGGCTCATACCCACAAACATTGTGTCTCACTCAGGTTGTATGTTGGAAGTTCCCAATTAACTGGGGGTCAGCTGCATCTATTGTAGCATTGCTCAGCTCTGATCAGCTCTGCTTCGCCTCACATGTCTTCTCATTTTAGTACCCTAGCTTAAGGAGCACATAAAGTAGGATCTGCCCATTTTCTGGCAGAGAGAAAGAGAAAGGGGCCAAGCTGAACCACACAATCATGTTTAAAGCTTTTGCTTGAACTTGGTCTGCATCAAGTTATCTCATATTCCATTGGCCAAAGTAAGTTATTTGGCCAAGTCCAGAATCAATGGAGGAGAAAGATATGTAAATAGTTGTGAACAGTAATACAATAGACTACATCTTCTCTATGTGTTTGAAGATTGCAAGGCCGAATCCTGTTATCAGCTACCCCACAGCGAACTATCCGGCGGTGTTACCACGTTTCACGCTTATTGACTAAGACAGCTAATTCACCCAGGAAAAATTTCTCTAGAATGAGTATGTGTGCATTACTTTTATCCTTCCATTTAATTGCAAAGATCTGTACATTATCAGCATGCTATTTTGAGAGAACATTAGAGGAACTGATGTATTTTTTAAAAACAACTAATCACTTTCTTGCTTTCTGTATTAGCACAACTTATTCTGCACAGGCTCCAGCTTGGGGAAGGGGGGAGTGGTCCTGAAACCAAAGGGTTTTAGGATGCATTTAAAGAATCATATACTTTTACACCCTTTTTTATTACCCTAATTACTTTCCTATTTGCATTCCAAATGCTGCTTTATTGAAATCCAATTCAAATTCAGATTATAGTCTCTGAATAAGAGGAAGCCACTAAACTGTGCTTATTGTTAGAAATGGCCCTTGGAGAAATCTGAAGCCTCTGTTGTGCTACCTAAAAAATGCGAATATTCTTTTTGATCCAGACAGAGGACAAGTTGGACTAAAATGCCTGTGGCAGTAGGGAGGCAACATTCTAAAGAAGAACATGATTTATTTAAAACTCATTTATTTGAATATTACATCACCAGTACCGGAACAATTTGATGTTAATGTTTAATTCAGAATGTCCATTTTGCTATGCAAACTAGAAGTCCTGCTGTTAATTTTTGGGGTAATTCAGGTTTCTACAATGCATTTTCCTTTCACTGGAGTCTGTAAGGTACTTGACCTCAATCCACCATGCCCCCAGTCCATTTCTTTTTATTGCATGGATCATTTATTCCAAGGGGGGATGTGATACCCTAGTAAAAGAGTTTACTGAGTCACTGCTATTCTTTCTCAACTTTAGGGCTCCAGTTAGTAAATAGGAACATTCAGGAACTCCACATTACTAAATTAGAAAATTTAACAGTGTAACACGGCTTAGAGGGTACAAGACAAACTCCGAAATTTCATTGTGGATGGACATGTCCGGCCAGACAATGGGACAGAAGGAAATGTGTCAGCTGGACATGTTCAAACTTTAATAAACATAACATTTATTGAATTTCAATGTCTTATTTGATTTATAAGTTAACCTCCATTTCCTAATTTCCCTCGGGTTAACCTCCAACCCTAGTAACCCAGGAAAATTAGGTGAGTATTCTACAGCAAAATAAAATAGGACATTTGTTTTAGGGTGAGAGCTCTCTGAAAATCCTTTCGAGTATCTTCTCATCAGGTTTTGGCTGGGACAAACAAAATACTCCTGGCACTATTGATTTTTTGTTTTAAAGCAAGAGTCCAAATATTTAGGGTTTCTAAAGGTGTACCTACTCTCAAATGTGACTCAAAACCAAATAAGCTTTTATATGTGTGAAACAAAGTTTATGGAAGGCCATTGTTTTGGACAAGCCTCCTGCACTAGGCCCCAGCAGACTAGACCAAATCAGGATGGAGTCACCTGTGCTAATGAAGTGGCGTCATGTAATACTTGAGGTTTGTTGTCTCATATTGAGGAAATCAAGGACACAGACACACAAGGAGTGAGGTTAAGAGTGGAGGTTTAGGCCGGGCATGGTGGCTCATGCCTGTAATCCCAACACTTTGGGAGGCCAAGGTGGGTGGATCATGAGGTCAAGAGATTGAGACCATCCTGGCCAACATGGTGAAACCCCGTCTCTACTAAACATACAAAAATTAGCTGGGCGTGGTGGTGCGCACCTGTAGTCCCAGCTACTCAGGAGGCTGAGGCAGGGGAATCGCTTGAACCCGGGAGGTGGAGGTTGCAGTGAGCCAAGATCGCGCCACTGCACTCCAACCTGGCAACAAAGCGAGAGTCTGTCTCAAAAAATAAAAAAAATAAAAAAAAATAAAAAAAGAGTGGAGGTTTAACAGGCAAAAGAAAGGAAAACCCTCTCTCCTGCAGAGAGAAGGACTCCTCAGAGTGGGTCTTCTGCTTCTGCAGTGAAATGCAGCAGGTTTTATAGATGAGCTTGAGGAGGCAGTGTCTGATTTACATAGGGCACAAAAGATTGGTTGGACCAGGTGTGCCATCTGCATAAGGCATGAAAAACTGGTTAGGACTAGGTGTTCCATTTGCATAGGGTGTGAATTTCTGGTATCCCCCCACCCTAATCCTTTATTATGCAGATGAGTTCTCTACCTGGCTGGTGCCATGTTACTTGGTTCTTTGCTATACACTATACACGTGGTGACAAAGAAAAGGGAAGATGGAGCCTCCATGTTGAACATTCCAGGCCCTCAGGTAGCCCTTTTCTATTGACACAGCTGCCAACATTCACCCATGCAAGCTTCCACCTTGCTTATCTATGTCTGCAGCTCGATTTTTCAGGCTGGTCTTTGTTAGAAAAGAAATGATTTCAGGGCTGCTTTTTGTTAGAAGGGAAATTCCAACAAGGACTCTATTGCCCTTACTATCTGTCTAAACAATTTCTTTCTATCTCCTGTATCTCTAAGTGCCATGTAATCAAAGTGAACTTTGAAACAGGATAGATTTCCCCCGAACACAAAAGATTCTAGTCAACCTGAGTCACCCTAATAAGGAAGTCTTTGCTGTTTTAACCCTGTAAGAAAAATAACTTTGAAATGACCAATCTGTTTTTTGTTCTCTGTTTTATTATCAAGCAAATGGGCTTGTTTCTTGATGCTCACAGAAGCCAATATTATGTGGCATTGGCTTTTGAGAAAAGAAAGGCTTTATTTACAAAACTGATCAGGAAGGAAATAGGAGCAGTCTCTCCAATTTGGGGTCTGGGGCAAATTTATGGGTTCAGAGGGCAAGGGAAAGGAGTTAGGAATGTTGTCTTGGCAAGTCTAATTGGAGGGCTTTAAATTTTGTGGGTTTTTTTTTGTTTGTTTTGAGATGGAGTTTCACTCTGTCACCCAGGGTGGAGTGCAGTGGGACCATTTCGGCTGACTGCAACCTCTGGCTCCCAGGTTCAAGGGATTCTCCTACCTCAGCCTCCACGTAGCTGGGACTTCAGGTGCGTGCCACCGCACCCAGCTAATTTTTGTATTTTTAGTAGAGACGGGATTTTGCCATGTTGGCCAGGCTGGTCTTGAAACTCCTGACCTCAAGTGATCCAGCTGCCTCGGCCTCCCAAAGTGCTGGGATTACAGGCATGAGCCACCACACCTGGCCAAGGGCTTTAAATTTGACCATTTACAGAAAGGTGTGTTGAGGATTTTAGCCCCAGATCTTCTGGCCCAACGTACTCCTCACTTCTGAAAGAGTTTAGGCATTCAGGTTCCTGTCATGTCTCAGTATTCTTGGTGCTTAGGGGAGGATTAATCGGTTCCTGGCACAGTTAGAGGTCATTGCATATACCTGGGCTACATGGCATGCGGTTTTCAGCTCTGTTATACCTACAAGGTAACTTGACATTTTGTTATCAATACAATAAGCCCCGTTTGGGCTGGTCCTGCAGTTACAGTTTCTGCTTTCTTCAGCTTTCTACCTATAAAGTCAAACTCCTCTGCTCAGCTCATCAGAATACTCATTCTGTTTTATAGAATGAGGTGTTATCCAAGTCTAGAATCACAAATAAAAGCAAATAAAGATTTTTAAACTAAATTTGTTGCAATTTTGTCTTTTGACATATGGCTCTGTCAACCTAAAATAATCAAAAGGGTCAGAATGCAGTTTAAACAGAGTTTATTCAAACACAAATGTGGAGGACTACAGCCTGGGACACACTTCCAGCTTGCCTTGGGGAGTACTCCAGAGAACAAAAGAGAGGCTCAAGTTTTTAAATTAAAAAATGATGAATCTGAGGAGGGAGCAATTACAAAAGTTCTTTATCAAAAAATGTTCATTGGTTTACAGAAATAACATTAGTTCCTGATTGGCTATACATTGTTGAACTATAGGGCATATGGCATTTTATGGCTCGTGGAAGTCATTCTAGAGTCTACACAGCAAGTGGCTTCAAGAAGTGATTATTTAGCTCAAGGGGTAGTGAGACTTGACTGCTATTACATTGTACATGCCTTTCTGGGCCTGCTAATTGAAATGGGCTCATGTTTTTTGGATAAAAGGTGTTTTTCTCCTTTCTCAACTCAAAACCAATAAGCCTTTTAAATGGCTTAGCAATGGATGCAAGAGGTGTACCCAAGGAAGTTGAAGAACATGCAGTCCCTATGATCCAAACTCACTCCCAAAGATAGTCAAAAAGAAAAAAAGCAAAAACCCTCATTGCCACAGGCAGTCAAGGCAATAAGGAAAGAGAGATGAGCTCCCTGAGGGATGGCAATGGTTCGCTAGAACGTCAGCAGCAAATGGAGTGCCTAGACTTCCATGTATCTGCACAACTGACTACTAATTCTCATGGCCACCCAACCTGACAGCTGGTCACCTGCAGGTGCAGGCCTGACAACCTATGCCCTCCCACACCCACAGGGAAGAAAACCAGAGAGAGAACACTCTCACTAGATCCAAACCAAGCTCTCAGGACACAAAACAAGACAATCAGGAAAGAAATGACTATCCAATGGGAGGGAAAATACTCAAAACTGAGTCACCCAAGAGTCATAATAACCAAAGAACTAGTTCTTTCAAGTATTTTCTCCTTCCAATCTATATTGAGAAAGAAAAGACAAGAAGAGGCTCTTACCACCTTCATTCCACCCAACACTAAGCAGAGATCAGGGAGTCTGATTGGTTAAAAATAAGTTAATTAACATAAACATAAAAGTTTACTTTCACTAGCTGGGCCAGAGATCCCGAAATCTCAGCTGTAGTCTCCAGAGACAGCAGAGTCCCAACCATCCATTCCATCTTTGTCACCAAACTGCCAGGGAGTTAAAAATATTTCTCCACCTTCTTAGATTTTTTTGACTGGGGGTCTGCAAATTAAACTGATAAGAAATAGATTAGCAAGAGAAAAGACAGATTTTATTCACATATGTACATATGGGAGTCCATAGAAAAATGTGACTCAAGGAGGCATTTGTAATTTGGGGCTTATGTACCATCTCATACCCAACTCCACACTACCTCCTTTTAACAGGGAAAAGGGAGGGGGAGAAGGGCATATACAGGAAAATGGCTTTCAGGAAAGGTAAATGGACTTTTAGGAGAATAGATGGGAGATATAATTTTGTGACAATATCTGCTTAGGTGTGGTGCTGACTTCTCTCAGGTGATGAGTCAATCTTCCCTGTTGCTCCCAAGGAGGGTATTTACAAAAATTGAGTTCTTTTGAGTTCAAGAGGTTCTGCTTTTAGGCAGATAAGAGATTTCAGGAGCTCAAATGTCTTTTGCTCAAAATATCTTTATAGCACAATGGTATATTCTGGACTCCTACTCAAAGTGTCATTTGCAAAACAGCAGCAGCAGCATAACCTCAGCGCTTCTTAGAAAGGCAGAATCTCAGAACTGACTCCTGACCTGCTGAATCAGATTCTGAATTTTTACAAAGCCCCCAGGGATTTGTAGAACATTAAAGTCTAAGAACAGCATACCAGAGGATCTGACACATCATTTCATCAGAAAGAGACTATAAATAGACCAAGATGTGAAGATGGAGATTTTTGTTCTCTTGGTACAGGTTGTCTTCAGTATCCTACCAAACCCCTCCTTCACCACCTCCTCTTTAACCCCTTTAGGAGGCTCCTGGATTGACTTTCTGATTTACAAGTTAACGCTAAAGGATGAATAGATGTTAATTATTTACCTGATAAATTCAAAGAGTATTGGCATTTTGACTGGTGCCTACCTCAACCAAGAGACTAATATCTCATGATTTTGAATTTCATACTCTTCAGGGGGCTACTCTAATCAAACAATGAGAGTAGCTGCTATCTTCTCCTATTGAGACTTGGGAATTGCTGAGTGCATTTAGAGAGCAACTTGATGTCTTCCTAATGGGCTAAAGAGTAGCCATTTCTTTTAAGTTTAGAAAGTAGAATCTGCCCCTTTGAGCCCATGAATGAGGAGTTCCTAACTTCTTAGAACATCCTGGATGACTAGGTAGAAAGCACCTGGGTTGCTCCTCCTTTTCTAGAATGGTATAGAAGACAGAAGACATTCGAAACTTTGAGAATGATCAGACATTGGTGACATTTATCATCTTGTTTGCATGGCTCATGACTTGGGGAAAAGAAAGTATGAAGGACCTTCTCTTCCTAGGAGGAATCCAGTTCTACTCTGCTACTAATGAGGAACCACAAAATTATCTAAAGCATCTTCTGCTTTATCTCCATTGTTGTTTCCTGGATATTTGTTGATTGCCTAATCAGTAGCTATTACATACTTCTCCCTTTCTAACAGGACCTACTCCTATCCCATTATGGGGTTGCCTGCTTTGTGGGTGGAATTATCCTGCCTCTCATCTCTAGTGGTGAATCCTAATTGGCCTAAACCATTGCTTGTCCCAGTAACTGGTTCAGAAATATGTTGTAATGTACCTCTAAGTCAAGAGTAAAAAAGAGTTTCCTAGCTAGTTGGCTAGTAATTGGTTAATATGTAAATGGGAGAGCCTATATTGATTCAATCAAAGCATAGGCCAGACATTGTCTAGTAGTTGAGGGAAAGAAAGCTTTCTCTCTTGGGGCTGAACGTGAAGGGAAAGCATATAGCACCAGATGCTTATGGAAATCTCCCCTAGAAGCACCAGCGATAATGCCATGGGTGGAAGCATAGAGAGACAAAAAGAATACTACTATTGAACTTTTCATTTATATGAGACTCTAAACATTTTTTGTCATGTGAAAAGGTTTGAGTTGGATTTTCTGTTACTTTGAAACTGAAAATATCTTAATGGATACACTTGCCAGTTTGTACTAAATGCCCCTACCCTCTTATAATGGGGTGATTATTTGCCTCTTGGTGCCCCTGTAATGTGCAGAATGCAAGTTTACCAAGAATGAGGTTTAGAACAGTGGTTCTTAAACTTGTCTGCACATTGGAATAATCTAGGAACTTCAAATGATATTGATGCCTGCATCTCACTCCCCCAGAGATTGTGATTAATTGCTCTGAGAATTACTGGGGCTTTGTGTGTCTACTTCTCTTACTTGTTTTATTTTGGTGGTGAAAACACGGCTGGCAACTGGAAGAGGGAAGTGGGAGGCTTCAATTTAATAAACAAATACGCACATTTCAAATGTTTACATTTTAATGTTACCATGCCCAGGATGCTTTTTCTCCTAGCCATGAAGTCTAAGACTCTGGAATAAGAAAAAGAAGAAATCATCCCAGTTCATAGAATGTTGAGATTTTATTGACCTTGTGATATTCAGAGAACCACGTCAGTGAATGATGCAATTTCCTGAGTTAATTTCCAAGAAGCAAATGTTCACAAAGGCTTTATAGGTCCCAATATGACAATATATTCTCTAATCTCTTCTCCGATCTCCATCCCTTCCCCAGTCACCATGACAACTCACACAGGCATTAACCAAGAAACCTGAAAAGGACATTTTTTGTGTTTTACCTCAGCTCCTTTCTCAGACATTTGATAAAATGATTTGTATTCCGGAATTCCCTGGGATGGGTGAATTAGAGATCCTCAAGCTTCCAAATTATACAGGTCAGACTATGGAGAGAGGCATATCCTACTATAGAGGGCTATTGAAGGTCATAAAAATTGAAGACATAGCAGAGGTATGCCAAAACAAAGATGAGCTACAATAAAAGAAAGAAAAGGAAACTTTCCATGTGAACATAGGACCACTTAACTTTGGGGAGGGAATGTCAGAGGCTTTATTCAGATTTCAAAAAAAGGAGAAAGAACCAAGAATTTTCTTTCTGAGTTCACTCTAATTTTGTTTTCAAACTAGGCTTCTATATGCTTAATATAAATGCCTTTAGCATTAGGTCTTGGCAACTTTAACTCGCTAATATTCTTTAACATTTAGTTATAAGGGAGTGTGTCTGGACTTGCATCTGGTAATTTCCTCTCCTCAGTAGCTACATGATGTGTCAGTCAGCTATTGCTGCTTAACAAACAATTTCAAAGCTCACTGGCATATAAGAAGCATTAACTATTAATAGTCTAATAGGTCTGAGAATTAGCTGAGGTGGCTCTGCTTCAGACTTTAGGTCTGCAGTTCAGTTGCGGTAGCTCTGCTCCACATTCCTTTCTTTCTGATGATATGAAGGACATGTCCTTCTCATGAGATTGGTAGAAAAACAAATGGGAAAAGCAAAACATGTGATCTCTTTTATTGGAAACGCTTGGAATCAGTGCACTATCACTTTCTCCCTTATTCCATTGACCAAAACAAGTGGCATGGCCAAGCCCAACATGAATGAAGCAGAAGAATACACTTCACCCAGTGGTATGAAATTTAAAGTCACATGACTGAGTACGGATTCAAGAAGTGAAGAATGGGAATAATAATGGAGTTTATCACATGGGATAAAGTTAGGGCTCTAAAGCAGAGGTTGGCAAACATTTTTGGAAAGAGAGAGATAGTAAATATTTAGGCTTTGTAGGCCCTATGGTTTCTGCCACAACTACTCATCTCTACCATTGTAGTGCAAAGGCAGCCATAGAAAGTACGTAAATGAATGAACATGGCTGTATTCCAATAAAACTTAATTTACTGGCAGTGAAATTTGAATTTCATATAATATTCATGTGCCACAAAATATTCTTCTTTTGATTTTTTTCAGCCTTTTAAAAGTATAAAACTATTATTAATTTCCAGCTGTGCAAAAACAAGCAGTAGGCCAGATTTGGCCCACAGGCCATAGTTCCCCACACTGTTCTAATAAATGGTATACATGCCCCTCCAGTCCTCCCTAACATTTAAGACTCCAACCATACTGAAACATGGTTTCCCAAATAACCCACTCTGTTAGTGAGCTCTTATCCTTGATTTTGCTTTTGCCTCATCCAAAAATTTTCTCCTGCCCTTGTCTGGTAAGTAAACTTGCAGTCCTTCTTCTACTTTGCTGAGTGTTTTCACATCTGCAATGCCTTCCCATATTCCCTGGGACTAAGGCAGACTAAGGTAGTCCATCCTCTATGCTCCCATTGCATTATACATACATGTTAATCTGGGTAGACTGGCTGTTGTAGCACACGGCACTCCAGTTTAAATGGCTTAACACAGTAAATATTTATTTCTCACACACATAATGGGGCCATGAGGTCAGGTGGGCATTTGGGCTTTCTCCTTTCAACCATTTAAGGGCTCAGTCTCCTGTCTTATAGCTCAGACTTCTAGAAGGTCCTACTAATATATTCTGTTCTGTAGTCAAATGAAGAGAGCAGAACTGCAAGGGAGGATTTTATGGGCCAGGCCTGGAGCACATTCCTTCTGCTCAAGTTCCTTTGGCAAGAACCACATTCTTTGTCCACATGTAACAGTAAAGGAAGCTGGAAATGAGGTTGGTTGAATGAATGAATAAGTTGTAAGTATACACAAATTTCATTTTAAGACAGCAGCACACACATTGTTCTTAGATGATTAAAACATTAATCTCAATGGAATTTGTTAAAAAGCAAAGGGACTGAGTTATAACCAGCTGAACTAAATTTCATGTTCCCTTCCGCCTTTGTGTTGTGAGAGCTGTTGTAGCTAATTTGCAAAATGTGTCCTTCTCTATGTCAAGTTTCTTTCACAAGTTAAAAACAAACTCATTTTACTCAGGTCTGCTTTAGCTTTACCCCTCCTCTGACAATGACTTTGCTCTTATTGGAGGCCACAAAGGACTTACGGGTGCAATGTTTTTGATAGATGGCTTTCTCCCCAACCCCTCCATCTCCATTCTGCTGCCCAGAGTGTCACCTTGCCTCTCCAGGCCATCTGCACTTGCTCTTGGATGAAATAGAATTAATGCCATTTGCTGTTTTCCTGTCTTTCGTAGCTCCAAGATGTGTCCCTGTGTCCCTTTGTTGGCATGCTGGCTTATACAACAGCTGCTACTTTCAGCCATCCCTACTGAGAGAAAACAATAGCGTTTCCTGTTGATATGGCTCCTTTGTTTGGAATCAAAGGAGACACGTTAAGGCCACGGGGTCCTTTTTAATGCTGTCTCTGGGGACTGTGGGGTTTTTTGATCATACACTTGCCAGGATTAAATCCAGCATGAGTCTTAAGGGTGCATTCTTGGGGGTGGTTACTAAGCACAAAGGGGACAGAGAAGAGTAGTAACAGGATGGGTTCCCTCCTGCTTCTGCATTTCCACATTTTCCACCTCTAAGCACATTCTGCTTCTGCAGTGATTCTGTTCCCCATTTCCTATGTTACACAGCCCACAGACCACAAAACAGCGAGCAGCTGGGAGTCATGTGCCTTTCTTTACTTGCAAAATGGCATGCAAGACACTACAAAGCCATGCCAGTCCCCTCTTCCTAGCTTTTGCTCTTCTGTTTGACAGAGGCCCACTTCATCTTTGTGCCTAAACTGTCAGGTCTGTCCTGATTTCTTCTCAACATCTCTGTACCACTTGCAGTTCAGAAGTAATGCCTACTGGCAGTGACCATCTGAGTGTCTAGCTGTGACACAAGTGAGCCATCCATAACGACACTCTTCATGTTCCCACATAGAATGCTGATTTGCAGTTATAACATGAAGCTGACCATTTTTGAGGGTTATGTGCCAGGTACTGTGGTAAGTACGCTGCTTTTGTTATATCATTCAGTCCCCACAATAATATCCCAGAGTTGGCACCATTTTGCCCAATTTTATAAATAAGAAAACTGAAGCCGGGACAGAAAACCTTGGCCAAGGTCATATTGAGAAGCCCAGAGCTAAGACTTGAAGCATATTTGTGCGACTTCGGAGTCTTCGATCCATAATTCTATGCTGCTGCCTTGAAACTAGTGAAGCTGTACAGTATTCATGTGTACTGTAAGAATTTATAGAATATTAATACTAGAGTATTGTCCACAGATTGGTAACATCAGCATCAACTGGGAGCTAATATTTTCAATGCAGAATCTCAGAAAATCCAAATATGCATGTTAGTAAGATCAATATGATTCATAGCCATATTAAAGTTTGAGAATCTCTACTCTATAATGCATTTCCTTTTATTTTATGTTAAAACATACAATTAAGTTATTATTGACTATAGTCACCCTGTTGTACTATCAAATAGCAGGTTTTATTCATTCTTTCTATTTTTTTGTACCCACTAACCATCCCCACCTTCCCACCAGCCCCTCCGCTATCCTTCCCAGTCTCTGATAACCATCCCTCTACTCTCTATGTCCATGAGTTCAACTGTTTTGATTCTTAGATCCCACAAACAAGTGAGAACATGCAATGTTTGTCTTTCTGTGCCTGGCTTATTTCACTTAACATAGTTATCTCCAGTTCCAACCATGTTGTTGCAAATGACTGAATCTTGTTCTTTTTTATGGATGAATACTACTCCCTTGTGTATATGTACCACATTTTCTTGATCCATTGATCAGTCGATGGACACTTAGGTTGCTTCCAAATCTTGGCTATTGTGAACAGTGCTGCAACAAACATGGGAGTGCAGATATCTCTTCAACATACTGATTTCCTTCCTTTGGGGTATATTTCCAGGAGTGGGATTGCTGGATCATATGGTAGCTTTATTTTTAATTTTTTGAGGAACTTCCAAACTGCTCTTCATAGTGGTTGCAATATTTACATTCCTACTAATAGTATACCAGGGTTCTCTTTTCTCCACATCCTCACCAGCATTTGTTATTGCCTGACTTTTGGATAAAAGCCATTTTAATTTGGGTGAAATGATATCTTATTGTAGTTTTGATTGTATTTCACTGATGTTCAATGATGTTGAGCACCTTTTCATATGCCTGCTTGCCATTTGCATGTCTTCTTTTGAGAAATGTCTAGTCAAGATCTTTTGCCCATTTTGATGGGGTTATCAGACTTTTTCCTATAGAGTTGTTTGAGTTTCTTATATATTCTGGTTATTAATCCCTTGTCAGATGGGTACTTTGCAAATATTTTCTCCCATTCTGTGAGCTGTCTTTTTACTTTGTTGATTGTTTCCTCTGCTGTGCAGAAGCTTTTTAATGTGATGTGATCCCATTTGTCCATTTTTTCTTTGGTTGCCTGTGCTTGTGGGGTATTACTCAAGAAATATTTGCCCAAACCAATGTCCTAGAGATTTCCCCCAATGTTTTCTAGTAGTAGTTTCATAGATTGAGGCCTGAGATTTAAGCTTTTAATCAATTTTGGTTTGGTTTTTGTATATGGCAGAGATAGGGGGTCTAGTTTCATCCCTTTGCATATAAATATCCAGTTTTCCCAGCACCATTTATTGAAGATACTGTCCTTTACCCAACATATGTTCTTGTGAACTTTGTCAAAATGAGTTCACTGTAGATATATGGCTTTATCTCTGCATTCTTTTTTCTGTTCCACTGATCCATGTGTCTGTTTTTATGTCAGTACCATGCTGTTTTGATTATTATAGCATTGTAGTATAATTTGAAGTCTGGTAATGTGATTACTCCAGTTTTGTTCTTTTTGCTTAGGGTAGCTTTGGGCATTGTGGGTATTTTCTGGCTCCATATACATTTTAGGATTGTTTTTTTCTATTTCTGTGAATAATGACATTGGTATTTTCATAGGGATTGCATTTAATCTGTAGATTGATTTAGATAGTACGGCTGTCTTAACAATATTGATTATTCTAATACGTGACCATGGTATATCTTTCCATATTTTTGTGACTTCTTCAATTTATTGCATCAATGTTTTACAGTTTTTATTGTAAAGAACTTTCATTTCTTTGATTGAGTTAATTGGCATTTTATTTTATTTGTAGCTATTGTAAATGGGATTGCTTTCTTGATTTCTTTTTCAGATTGTTCACGTTGGCATATAGAAATATTATTGATTTTTGTATGCAGATTTTGTATCCTGCAACTTTACTGAATTTGTTTATCAGTTCTAATAGTTTTTTTGGTGTAGACTTTAGGTTTTTCTAAACTTACGATCTTATCTTCTTCAAACAAGGATAATTTGACTTCCTCTTTTCTAATTTGGATGCTTTATATTTCTTTCTTTTGTCTGATTGCTGTAATTAGGACTTCCAGTACTATGTTGAATAACAGTGGTGAAAGTGGCTTAATAGACATAGAAAAAGCATTCAATAAAATTTCACATTCTTTCATGATAAAAACTCTCAACAAAGTAGTGATAGATGGAACATGCTTCAAAAAGAATAAAGTCTATATACAACAAACCCACAGCTAACATCATACTAAATGGGGAAAAGCTAAAGCTTTGTCTTCTAAGAACTAAAACAAGACAAAGGTATCCACTTTCACCACTCCTATTCAGCATAGTACTGGAAGTCCTGGCCAGAGTATTCAGGCAAGAGAAAGAAATAATAGGCATACAAGTTGGAAAAGAAGTCAAATTGTCCCTCTTTGCAGGTGATACAATCTTATATCTAGAAAGGCCTAAATATTTGACCAAAAAACTCTTAGAGCTGATAAATAAATTTAGTGAAGTTGCAGGATTCAAAATCAACATACAAAAATTAGTAGATTTTCTATACACCAATAATGAATTAGCTGAGAAAGAAATCAAGAAGTGAATCCCATTTAACTAAGGAGGTGAAAGGCTTCTACAAGGAAAACTACAAAACACTGATGAAATAAACTGAAGAGGACACAAATAGAAAAACATTTTGTGCTCATGGAAAGGAAGAAATAATGTTATTAAAATGACCATACTGCCCAAAGCAATCTACAAATTCAACGCAATCTCCATTAAAATATCAACATCATTTTTCACAGAAATAGAAAAAAATTCCAAAAATGCATATGGAATGAAAAAAAAGCCCAAATAAGCAAAACAATCCTGAGCAAAAAAGACAAAGCTGGAGGCATCACACTACTCGACTTCAAAATATATTAAAAGGCTATCATGGCCACGACAGCATAGTATTGGTATAAAAGCAGATATATAGATCAATGGAAGAAAATAAAGAACCCCAAAATAAATGTACATACTTACAGCCAACTGATTTTTGACAATGGTGCCAAGAACATACGCTGGAGAAAGGATAGCCTCTTCAATGAATGGCGCTGGGAAAACTGGATAGCCACATGCATAAGAATGAAACGGGCCCCCTATCACTCACCCTATAAAAAAACCAACTCAAGATGGATTAAATACTTAAATGTGAAGTCCAAACCTATAAAATTAATAGAAAAAATTACAGGAAAAATACTTCAGGACACTGGTCTAAGCAAATATTTTATGGCTAAGACCTCAAAAGCACTGGCAAGAAAAACTAAAATACACAAATGAGACTATATTAAACTAAAATGATTTTACACAGCAAAGGAAACAATCAGCAAAGTGAGGAGACAACCTGTTGAATGACAGAACATTTTTACAAACTATTCAACTGACAAACAACTAATATCTAAACCATAAAAGTAACTCAAACAACTCAACAGGAACAAAACAAATTATTCTATTTAAAAGTGGGCAAAGGACAAGAATAGACATTTCTCAAAAGAAGACACACAAATGGCCAACAGTTATATGAAAAAATGCTCAACATCACTAATAATCAGGAAATTGCAAATCAAAACCACAATGAGATATCATCTTATCTGAGAATGGCTATTATTAAAAAGACAAAAAATAACAGAATTCAGTGAGGATACAGATAAAAAGAACTCCTACACACTGTTGGTGGAAATATAAATCAGTACAACCACCACGGAAAAACAGTATGAAGATTTCTCAAAAAACTAAAAATGAGGCCAGGCGCAGTGGCTCACGCCTGTAATCCCAGCACTTTGGGAGGACGAGGGGGGCGGATCACGAGGTCAGGAGATCGAGACCATCCTGGCTAACATGGTGAAACCCTGTCTCTACTAAAAGTACAAAAAAATTAGCTGAGCATGGTGGTGGGTGCCTGCAGTCCCAGCTACTTGGGAGGCTGAGGCAGGAGAATGGCGTGAACCCAGGAGGCGGAGCTTGCAGTGAGTCGAGATCGCGCCACTGCACTCCAGCCTGGGTGACAGTGCAAGACTCCATCTCAAAAAAATAAATAAATAAATAAATAAATAAAAATAAAACTACAATATGACCCAACAATGCCACTACGTGGTATTCATCAAAATGAAAAGAAATCAGTTTATTAAAGGAATATGTGCACTTTCATGTTTATTGTAGCACTGTTCAAAATAGCAAAGATGTGGAATCAAGTGTCCATCAGTGGATGAATGGATAAAGAAAAAGTGGTATATACACACATGGAATACTATTCAGCTATAAAAAGGAATGAAATCATGTCATTTGTAAAACATGGATGGAACTGGGGGTTATTATGTTAAGTGAAATAGGCCAGGCACAGAAAGATAAATATCAAATGTTCTCACTCATATATGGAAGCTAAAAAGTTGATCTCATGGAGGCAGAGAGTAGAATGACAGATATCAGAGGCTAGGGAAGGTATGTGAGAGGAGGGAGGATGTAGAGAAGTTGGTTAATGGGTACAAACATACATTTAGATAGAAGGCATAAGTTCTAATGTTCAACAGCAGAGTAGGGTGACTATAGTTAACAATGATGTATTTTATATTTCAAAGTAGCTAGAAGAGAGGACTTTGAATTGTTCCCAACACATAGAAATGATACATACTCAAGGTGATGATAGCAAAGACTTGGAACCAACCCAAATGTCCATCAATGATAGACTGGATTAAGAAAATGTGGCACATATACACCATGGAATACTATGCAGCCATAAAAAAGGATGAGTTCACGTCCTTTGTAGGGACATGGATGAAGCTGGAAACCATCATTCTCAGAAAACTATCTCAAGGTCAAAAAACCAAACACTGCATGTTCTCACTCATAGTTGGGAATTGAACAATGAGGACACTTGGACACAGGAAGGGGAACATCACACACCGGGGCCTGTCGTGGGGTGGGGGGAGGGGGGGGAGGGATAGCATTAGGAGATATACCTAATGTAAATGATGAGTTAATGGGTACAGCACACCAACATGACACATGTATACATATGTAACAAACCTGCACGTTGTGCACATGTGCCCTAGAACTTAAAGTATAATAAAAAAAATTAAAAAAAAGAAATGATACATACTCAAGCTGATGGATACCAAAAATATCTGACTTGCACACTCTATGCATGTAATCCATAAATATGTAAAATATTATGTGTCAATAAAAAATCACTCAAAAGAATAATCATATGATAGTCAATTTGACATCAGGATGCTTCAACTTAAACAACACACCTATAAGAACTAGCTAAAACCACTTACATGAATAAAGGGCTCTGAGAAAATAGCTGGCTGAGACAGAATTTCTGCTGTGTGTTTGTGAGTTTGTGTGTTTGTTCCCTTTACTGCTCCCTCTCCATCTTTATAATCACCCTGGTTGACAGAGTTGAACGCTTATTAATCAATCAATGAATTAATTTCAACATGCATTCAACCACACATACCGTACTTCAAACACAGTCAAGCACCTGTGTTTCTGGGTGTTGTGAAGACAGACAAATAAGACTAATTTCTACTCTTGAGGAGGTCACAGCTTTGGAGGCAATATAAATAGATGTTTTTCTATTATAAACTATAATTCAACATAAGCACTAAAATGAATCAATTATCTGATATTCTAACTAGACTTTTTCAGATTTTAATATTTCTGAAATATGCATTTTAAAAATTTATATTAGAAGAGAGAAAAAATACTGACTGAGTTGTTATTGTCTTACTATTTAAATGTAGATATGTATTAAAGAAATCTATTTATCTGATGGCCACCTTCATTGAGATATTTGCTTTAAAAGTGCTACCCACAATTACATTTTAATTTATGTTTACTTTCTTATCTTTCTTTTATTTCTTTTAAATGTTTTGTTTTAAAATTATTTTACATTTATAGAAAAGTTGTAAATATAATACAAAGTTTCTGTCTACTCCAGACCAAGTTTCCCCTATTATTAATATCTGGCAGTGGTTTGGTATATTTGTCACAATTAATTAATGAATATTGATATATTATTATTACTGAAGTTAATATTTTATTCATATTTTCTTAGTTTTCCTAATGTTCTTTTTTCTTTTCCAGAATCCCATCCAGAATACCACATTATATTTAGTTGTCATATATTTTTAGATTCTTCTTGATTTTGACAGTTTCTCAGATTTTCATTGTTTTTGATGATCTTGACAGTTTTAAGGAAGACTGGTCAGCTATTTGTAGAATGACCCTCTATTAGAATTTGTCTGATGTTTGTCTCATGATGAGACAAGCGTTATGAGTTTTGGGAAGGCATACCACAGAGATGCCATTCTCATCACATCATATCAAGAGTACAGGCTATCAACATGACTTATGGCTGAGGTTAACCTTAATTACCTGACTGAGGTAGTGTTTGTCAGATGTCTCCACCATAAAGTTACTTACTCCACCTTTTTTGTACTGTACTCTTTGAAACGAAGTCACTATGCACATCCCACACATTAAAAGTGGGGAGTAATGCTCCACCTCCATGAGGGAAGAGTATCTACATAAATTATTTGAAATTTGTCAGCACAGTAGATTTGTCTCTTCTCTATTTATGTCATTAATTCGTTATTTAATCATTTATTTATATATATATTGCCTCCTGGATATTTATTTTATGTACTGGGTTATACTCCTATACTACTTTATTTTATTGCTCAAATTTTCCAGCTTTGTCCACTAGGGGGGTCTTTCAGTTGACTCTTATGTCCCTTGACATACCCCAATAGTTGTGGGTTTTTTAAATTGTTTTGAGCATTTTCTTTCTTTCTGTCACTACAAGATGCTCCAGGCATGCCTTGTATATTTATAGCCACAGGCCTAGAATCAATCATTTCACCAAGGAGCCCTAGTTCCTTTTGAATGGTAATACAAACCAAGATTTTGGCAATTGTCTTTTAAAATGGTTTTTAAAAATATTCTACTCTTATTCTGCATTGGAAAAAGAAGTTATTGTTCAATATAAGATTTCTGGTAAAATATCAAGACAGGCAATCAAAGGCAGTATAAATCAGATATCCTGGAAAAGGCCAGAAGATTCTGAAATCCAGGACTGGTTGGTGTGGTTAACACACATATGACAAGGGACTATTACCCAGGCACCAAAAAGCCATTGGTCCGAAGATTCTGGCTGACTTTCGAGGGAAGATGAATCTCTTCCAGCAATACGTGATTTGATCAAAAAATCAAACTAGGTGTATTAGTCCATGTTCATGCTCATGATTAGACAAGGGTTATGAGTTTTGGGGAGGAATACCACAGAGATGCCATTCCCATTACATCATATCAAGAGTATAGGCTATCAACATGACTTATGGCTGAGGTACCCAAGACTGGGCAATTTACAAAAGAAATAGCTTTATTGGATTTACAGTTCCACATGGCTGGGGAGGCCTCACAATCACGGCAGAAAGCAAGGAGGAGCAAGTCACATCTTACGTGGATGGCAGCAGGCAAAGAGAGCTTGTGCAGGGAAATTCCCCTTTCTAAAGCCATCAGATCTCGTGAGACCTATTCACTATCACAAGAACAGCACAGGAAAGACCTGCCCCCATGATTCAATCACATCCCACCAGGTCCCTCCCACAACACATGGGAATTCAAGATGAGGTTGGAGTGGGGACACAGCCAAACCATATCACCATGGTTTACCAAATAAAAAACACAGGTACAGCCCTGGTTTTCTTAGATATCCCTCCTAACGTACTGTCATCCTAAAGCTAGTGGAGAAGTCAGGTTCAGCAGCTCAAATTTTGAAATGCAGCCCATCACCCATGACAGTGAGTCCCAGGAATTTTTTGACTCTGCAGTGTGAAAAAGGCTTGACACAATCTTGTGATACTGAAAAGAAAATTACACATAAGTATATGAATATGTGTTTTTTGTTTTAGGCACATCAAATATAGTTTGATTTACTTTTATAGTATCTATAGTTAAATTGATGGTTATATAGTGTGATGGTTTTGATGTGTCTCCCAAAGTTTATGTGTTGGCAACAGTGTTGAGAGGTGGGTTCTTTAAGAGGCGATCAGGTCATGAGGGCTCTACCATCATGAAGGAACTAGTACCATTATCACAGGAGTGTGTTCCTGATAAAAGGATGAGTTCGCCCCCCGTTCCCTTCCTTTCTCTTCTCTTCTCTTCTTCTCTCTCTCTCTCTCTCTCTCTCGTGCATGTGTTATATGATACCTTCCACCATGTTATGGATCAGCAAGAAGGCCCTCATCAGATGCATTTCCTCAGTATGTTGGCCTTCCCAACCTCTACAACCATGAGCCAAACAAATTGCTATTGATTATAAATTATCCACTCTCAGGTATTCTGTTATAGCAGTGCAGAATGGACTAAAACATATAGTCAATGGAGATTTAGAATCAGGGAAATAATTCTGTGAGGCCATTCATCTCTGGATAATGGAAAGCTCCAGAAGGCTCAAGGATGTTTCCTGGCCTCACATTTGAGCGAATAAAATTTACCTTTCCTAAGATCAATTTTGTGAAGTCCTTGTGAAATCATCAGTTTGTCTCCCTCTCTCATTCCTCTCCCTTTTGCTCTTTCTCATCCCAGTCAATGAAAATCTTTCTGAAAGTCAGGTATGCTTGTCAGCATTACTCTAGCTTCTGACTTTGTAAAAAAATAAAATGTTCCTAATGAGAACAGCTGGACATGGGGCAGGGAACATCACACACTGGGGCCTGTCAGGAGGTGGGGGACTGGGGGAGGGATAGCATTAGGAGAAATACCTAATGTAAATGACGAGTTGATGGGTGCAACAAACCAACATGGCACATGTATACCTATGTAACAAACGTGCACGTTGTGCACATGTACTCTAGAACTTAAAGTATAATAAAAAACAAACAAACAAAACAAAACAAAAAGCAAAAAAAAAGTTCCTTTTTTTCTCTATTCCCTGGAACTGTCTTAATTGTTTAGGAATATCTCAAATTTAAAGACTCGGAAAAATGTACCTGTAAAGCGTTTTTTTCTTCTATAGTTATTGGTCTGTTTAAGTTTTCTGCTTCTTTCTGGATATATTTTTAAATATGTATTCCTAGAAATCCTTTCACTTTATCCAAGTTTTAAAAATTGCTACCATGGAAGTATGTAGAGTATTTTTATAATTCTTTTCTATTTCCTCTGTGTATATGATGGTCTTATATTATTCCTAATTTTGTTTGCTGAGATTTATCTTTTTCATAACTAGACTAGTTAGGGGTTCTTCTATATTTTCCTAATGTTTAAAGAAAACACATTTTTTCTGAATTTTATTTATTCATGTCTTTTTATTTGAGTAATATATTTATTCTGCTTTCCTTGGGCTTATATTTCTTGTTATTTACTTCCTAAGTTAACTGCTAAATTTGTTAATTTTATTTTTGTTGGTTTAATAAGTGACTTATCATCTGGAAACAATATCCATATCCCATGTAGATAATTCGCATTATCATTATTTTTAGATGTTCTACAGTTGATGATTTTTTGTTCTTTGACCCAAGTTGTTTTAGTATAGTTTCAAAATCCTTTAAGATGTTGATGTGTTTGTTTATCATTTTGTTCTTTATTTTTCATTTCATAACGTTATCTTTCAATATATAGAACGGACCTTCTTTACATCTATAGGATTTCATCTACTAATGCAAACGGCATGGTGCACATGCCACTGTGGGCTTTCAGCACAACAGATAAGTGTGTGTGTGTGTGTGTGTGTGTGTGTGTGTGTAAAGAATCTACATTTAATGTAGCCAAAACATTACACGTATCCATACAATTATGTATCGCTCTTCGGTATCACAAAGAGCACATCTAAGCTGTTACTATTAAGACCTTAAGATTTTTACAAAGGCAAACACAACAAACAAAACACTTTTCAACCAAAATAGAGCTAAATGTAACCTGAAAGGGAACTAAGAAGCAGACGTTCATTCCTATGTCATCAAACATAGGGTTTTTCCTACCATGTTTCGGTTGGAGTATGGCTTCCTCTACCGCAGTGTTTACTAAATGTTGTCTGCAGGCTAGAATCACCTGCGAAATTTCTAGACATTTTAAATCCCAGGCCAAACCCATGAACAATTAAATCAAAGTCTCTGGAATGGAATACAGGCATCAGTATTTATGAATCACCCCAAATAATTCCAATGTGCAGATTCCATGCACACGATCTAGGACACACACAGCTGAACCTTGCTTGCAATTAATCCTCAGTGTTGTAAGTCAGTTGTTCTCAAACTTGAGCTGCATCAGAATAACTGGAAAAGCTGTTAAAACACAGATTTCTGGGCCTCACCTTAGGGTGTCTGATTCAGTAAGTCTGGAATGAAGCATAAGAACTGACATTTCTAACAAGTTCCCTGATAATGTTGATGCTGCTATTCCTCAAACTACATTTTGAGAATCTTTTTGTATTGAGCCTTAGTTTCAGAAAAGAAAACATATTTGAAATTAATCTTTTTATTATTATTATTTTTTATTACACTTTAAGTTCTAGGGTACCTGTGAACACATGTAGGTTTGTTACATATGTATACAAAAAATTATAATTTAGGAAAACATAATGAATGAGTTATTTACACACCAACAACCCAGAGGAACTGCTGGAGAATTATGCTGGTAAAAAAAAGCTAACCATCGAAAGTTATATGCTGTACAATTCCATATATGTAACATTCTTTAAAAAATAACAAAATGAAGAACAAACTAGTGATTTCCAGAAGTTAACGAGGGTGTGGAGGTGGGAGGGAAGTGTGTGTGGCTAGAAAGAGTAACATGACTGATCGTTGTGTTGATTTACATATTCTGCATCTTGTAATATCAATGCCAATATCCCGGGAGTGCTGTCATTCTATAGTTTCACAAGGTGTTACCATTGGCAAAAACTGGGTAAAGGGTAAAAAAATAAGAAAATAAAATAAAAAATAAAAAAAGAAATTAATCTGTAGCAAGAATTCTTTCAAGAAGCCACCATGACTAAAGCTTCCAAAAAGAACACATTGAGTACATTTTTCAAGACCATATAAACTTAGATTTAACAAAGCTGCTGTACTCTCCTTTAACAGAAGTCTTCATGAAGTATTTATTAACAAGTACTTCATAGGCGGCCAACTTAATTGCTATATTAACAATTCAAGTGTGATGTAGTTGCTTCAATCTAAGAATTTTAGCATTTTAGCATTAATTTCTAATTAACTGCTATTTTCTTATGTTTTTATGAGCTCATCTATGTGTACATTAATTCTTAATCTGCACTGATTTCCATAGTAAAAGGACTCAATGCTTCTTCTCTCTCTGAGGATATATGATACTAGTTAGAATATAAGAAAACTTCTCCATGGTGATTTAGTTTCTGCATGTGAACATAGGTGTGTCAGCAGTTGTGAACACTAACACAGTGCAGTGGGTTCCAGATATTAAAGACAACAATGAAGTTGCAGTTTGGAGGTTTTGAATTTGTATGCTGTACAGGTGACTAAAAGTTGCATGAGATAGCCATACCCCCTGGTAGCTTAGACCCTAAGACAAAGGTCAACAAACTATGGCCCATGGGCCAAATCCAGCCCACTGCCTATTTTTATAAATAAAATTATATTAGAACACTGTTAAATTCATTCCTATATATATTGTCTATGGCTGCTTTTGGGTTATAATGGCAGACTTGAGTAGTTCTACCCACAAAGCCTAAAATATTTACTACCTGGTCCTTTATATAAAAAGTTTATTAGCCCTATTAATCAAGGTTCTTTGTGTAGTAATGATTAGCCATCCACATATTCATGCAGCCATAAGATCATTCCATCCACATTCTTCCTCATACATGGTTCACAAGGCTACCCCAAAAGCTTTGTAAATGTCTCACTGAAGTCCTGGACTCAGAAACCTGTCAAAAATGTAAATAGGGTTACTTTGTCATGACTTATGCATACTGAATCTGCTACTGGCTGGCAATTGGGGTTCATTTAGAGCTTGTCACTTTGAGAAACCAAGGGTTATCTTTCTGAATCACAGCCCTAGTTGCCTAACTCTAATGTTCTTCATAAGGAGTCTCCAAGGAATATTTTTTGTATGGCTTATCCTCATTACTAATTCCCTCTTTTGTAATAAATGGTAGTTAACTTCAGGGGAAGTTTGAAAAAGGTCAAGAAAATATGTTACCATGACAATGATAGAAACCACAGAAGTGGGTACATATTGGGAAAGGATGATGATATTCACCTTAAAGGTTAATATCATGGGTTTGGCCTTGGATTTAAAGGGTTTAATGATGGGCTTAAAGATATGAAAGAGAAAAGTGACCATGTCATCACAACTTGCTATTAAAATGAATTATAGGGGGATGGGAGATTAGCATCTCCTATTGAATCCAATAATTAAAATAATGATAATTTGCAAGATAAAAAAATGCGGATGGAAGAGCAAAAGAAATATGACTAGAACATTGTCAATTTCCATGTCCTAACAGCAGAAAACAGTGAAAGGTAAGAATCTGTATGGAGTGAGGTGTGATGTGGTTAAGGAAGCAGCTATGGCAAGTAAGAGGAAAGTAAATTAAAACACGAGAGAGGAGATTAAGAAAAGTCAATAATATCTTGGAAATAAATGTGATAAGATGGCAGAAAGGAAGCCAGTCGAGTGAGGGAAGTTGGAGTCATCTTGTGCCTTACTGCTCTAGAGACTGTACCATGAATACCAAATTTAGCTCTGTCATGAGACATCGAGGATTTGTAGAAGATGTGAGACTAGTGATGAAAATTACTGGGCCCTGGGAAAAAGTAATTTATAGATAAAGCCATGAGATGCTTCTTATCAGATAGGTGATGAGTAGAGAACAGTGTAGTAAAAGAGGAGCTTGAAATAAATACTTCTGCCCCACTAAGAAAATAAGGTAGATTTGTGCCCATTATTCTTGTATTTACATTTTTATGACCACTCTATATGAATAGAATCACACAGTGAAGTTCAAATCTTTCTCCCTTGATTCTACTGAAGAAAAAAGAGAGGAAAACATATGGAGAAAAGAGAGTTGGTGGAGATATTTGCTGCTGTTTTATCCTTAATCAGAGATTTAAGTGACAGGGGAAGTATATATTGATATTGATTGATTTTATTGTGCATTTTAGATTTATGCTTACTTATTGAACTCCTGCTTGATCGATTTTTATTATGAATTTTAAATTTAAATTTTCCTTAAAAGAGCCTCTGGTGTTGCCAGGTACTGTTCTAGGAGATAGCCAAATAAGACATAGTCTCTGTCTTCAAGGACCCGTTTGAATTGAAGAATAAGATAAGTAGTCAGGTATTTAATGTATGTGCTATAATGAACAGAGTCCAAGGGGAGATAACGAGATGAGTCTAAGATTGCCCAGAAGTAACATCTAAATTGAGACCAGAAGGGTGATTATCAGTTATTTAAAAAAAAGGATTGGGCTACAGATATTCTATACAAAAGGAATATAAGAGATGGCATGGTAAACTGATTGCAAAAGGTCCCAGTTCTCCATCTATTTATGTATCCATGCCTCTACAATGTGAATTTGTATTTCCTTCCATAAAGCAGTGGGGTCCTTTTCCAATTCCTTGGTCCTGGGCTGATTTTCTGATTTGCTTTGTCCTATAGAATGCTACAGAAGTGATCCTATGTCAGTTCCATGCTTAGGCATCAAGAGATTTTCCACGCTTCCACTCTCTTTCTTTGAACTCTATCACCACCATGAAAATAAGCCAGGGCCTACCTATTGCAGGATGAGAGACCATGTGGAGGACAGCCATAGCATGCCCAGTGAGGCCATGTTAGACCATGCTAGACCAGCCAGACCCCAACTGGCCTGCCAACTGAGTAAAGGCATATGGGCTAGTCTAATGGAGATTGGATGAATCTGGCCCATATCAGCAGAATCTCTCAGCTGACCCATAGGTTTATGGGAAGTAATAAATAATTGTTATCATAAGACACTGATATTGTTTGACTGTGTCCCCACCCAAATTTCATTTTGAATTGTAGTTCCTATAATTCCCACGTGTCATGGGGATTTAAAACCTCCAGTGGGAGGTAATTGAATCACGGGGGCGGGTTTTTCCCATGCTGTTTTCGTGATAGTGAATAAGTCTCATGAGATCTGATGGTTTTATAAAAAGGGCAGTTTCCCTGTACACGCTCTCTTGCCTGCCACCATGTAAGACATGTCTTTGTTCTTCCTTCACCTTCTGCCCCAATTGTGAGGCCTCCCCAGCCATGCATAACTGTGAATCCATTAAACCTCTTTTTCTTTATAAATTATCCAGTCTCAGGTATTTCTTCATAGCAGTATGAAAATGGACTAATACAGTAAATTGGTACTGGTAGAGTAGGGTATGGCTATTAAGATACCCAAAAATATGGAAGCGACTTTGGTACTCAGTAACACACAGAGGATTCTGTTTGGAGGGCTCAGAAGAAAACGAGAAGATGTGGGAAAGTTTGGAGCTTCCTAGAGACTTGTGGAATGAAGTCCAGGCTGAGGTGATCTCAGGTGGAGATGATGAACTTCTTGGGAACTGGAGCAAAGGTGATTCTTGCTATGCTTTAGCAAAGAGACTGGTGGCATTTTGTCTCTGCCCTAGAGATCTGTGGAACTTTGAACTTGAGAGAGATGATTTAGGGTATCTGGCAAAAGAAATTCCTAAACAGCAAAGCCTTCAAGACGTGACTTGGGTGCTCTTAAAAGCCTTCAGTTTTATTCTTTCCAAAGATATGGTTTGGCATTGTAAGTTATGTTTAAAAGGGAAGCAGAGCATAAAAGCTCAGAAAATTTGCAACCTGATGATGCTATAGAAAAGAAAAATCCATTTTCTAAGGAGAAATTCAATCTGGCTGCAGAAATTTGCATAAATAAATTTGCATAAGCCAAATGATAATTGCCAAGACAGTGGGGAAAATATCTCCAGGGCATGTCAAGAGGTCTTCATGGCAGCCCCTCCCATCACAAGCTGGGAGGGCTAGGAGGAAAAAATGGTTTTGTGGGCCAGGCCCAGGGCCTTGTTGCTTTGTAAAGGCTCAGAACTTAGTGCCCTGAATCCCAGCCATGGCTAAAAGAGGCCAACGTACAGCTCAGGCCATTGCTTCAGAGGGTGCAAGCCCCAAGCTTTGGCAGTTTACACATGGTGTTGGTCCTACAGGTGCACAAGTAGAGAATTGAGGTTTGGGAACCTCCACCTAGATTTCAGAGGATGTATGGAAATGCCTGGATGTCCAGACAAAAGTTAGCTGCAGGAGCACAGCCCTCACAGAGAACCTCTGCTAGGGCAGTGCAGAAGAAAAATGTGGGGTTGGAGCCCCCACACAGAGTCCCCACTGGGGCACTGCCTAGTGGAGCTGTGAGAAGAGGGGCACTGTCCTCCAGACCTCAGAATGGTAGATCCACTGACAGCGTGCACCATGCATCTTGAAAAGCCACAGACACTCAATGCCAGCCCAAGAAAACAGCCAGAAGGGGAGCTGTACCCTGCAAAGCCACAGAGGGGAGCTGCCCAAGGCCATGGGAGCCCACCCCTTGCATCAGCATGCCCTCGATATGAGACATGGAGTCAAAGAAGATCATCTTGTAACTTTAAGGTTTAATGATTGCCCTATTGTATTTCAGACTTGGACGGGGCTGGTAGCCCCTTTGTTTTGGTCAATTTCTCCCACTTGCAATGGGTGAATTTATTCAATGCTTGTACCCCCATTGTATCTAGGAAGTAACTAACTTGCTTTTGATTTTACAGGCTCATAGGTGGAAGGGACCTGCCTTATCTCAGATGAGACTTTGGACTTGGACTTTGCCGTTAATGATGGAATGAGTTAAGATGTTGGGGGACTGTTGGGAAGACATTATTATGTTTTCAAATATGAGGACCTGAGATTTGGGAGGGGTCATGGAGTGGGATGGTATGGTTTGGCTGTCCATCCCACTCCATGATGGTATGTCCCCACCTAAATCTTATTTTGAATCGTAGTTCCCATAATCCCCATGTGTCGTGGGAGGGACCTGGTGGGAGGTAATTGAATCATGGGGACATGTTTTCCCATGCTGTTCTTGTGATAGTGAATAAGTCTCACAAGATCTGATTGTTTTATAAAGGGCTGTTCCTCTGCACACATTCTCTTGCCTGCTACCACGTAAGACGTGCTTTTGCTCCTCCTTCACCTTCCACCATGATTGTGAGGCCTCCCCAGCCATGTGGAACTGTGAGCCCATTAAACCTATTTTTCTTTATAGATTACCCCGTCTTGGGTATTTCTTCACAGCAGTATGAGAACAGACTAATACAGACACTAAGCTTTGGAATGATTTGTTATGTGGCAGTACAATGCAGAAGATCTGGAGCTATAAGAGAGCAGGGAACATTCAATAAAATGAAGTGGTTTAAGATGAATGAAGAATAGAGTATAAAGGAAGAAAGGATGAAAGGTGATAATGGGGAGCCAAGCAAGAACTGGATCCTTCAGAGTTATAAGTCTTATTACATGATAGGGAACTATCTAGGGGTTTAAAGTAGATGTATGATCAGATTTTTATTTTAGGCAGATTACTGTTTATGGAAGTTAATGTCTATGAGGAACACAAGGCCAGAAGGAGGGAGGTCAGTAATGTAGCTTTTGTTATTATCCAGGTGAGCAATGATAATATCCTGAACTAGAGTATATTAGGGACCATAAGGTTGAGTAGAAATGAACAGATTGGAAACATTTTTGGGAGACAGAATGAGTAGGACTTGGTCCTTTATCAGAAGTGAGATATGATGGAGAAAAGGCCAGAGGTGATAGTTGATGTCTGATTTGGGCAAATGAAAGGTTTAGAGGACAGAAACCCAGAGGAAAATGAGATTTGGATGGGGTGGAGGAGATGATAAGCACGGTTTGATATTTCTTAAGTTTGAGATGCCAGTGAGATACATAGTAAAAGATGCCCTGTAAAGAGTTTTTGTCATACTGATCTGAAGCTTAGGAGAATGACTTGGGTCAGAGATAGTTTTGGGAATTGACAGCATACAGTTGGTACTTGAACATTTACTGAGTACCTGATATGTGTCATGTGTTGTACTACATGCCAAGAATATGGCGGTTAGTAATACAGACCAGGCTGTATAATTTGGTGGAGAAAATGCAACATTGGTCAACTAATCACACAAATAAAAATATACTGTCTTAAGTACTGCAAAAGAAATTGCAGTAGGCCATAAGAGTATGTAACAAAGAGATTTGATCCAGTCTAAGTAATCAAGGAAGTATTCCCTGAAAAAAAAAAAAAAAAGGATGCTAAAGCTGAGATCAGGATTATGAGAAAGTTTTCAAGGTCATAAGTGAGGGATGAGGTAGAAACAGAGAATGTTCTAGGAATGGTGCATCTAGTTTAAAGGTCTCTAAAGTCAGTCTCGCATGGGACTCATTTTGGAGGGATCGCAGCAAGGGAAGGAAAACTGTTATGAGCTATATATAGAGGAGTGTTATAGATATGAAGATTTGGAAGATATTTGGAAGGCAGAACTGACAAGACCACAAGACAGATTAGAGGGAAAGAGAAATGGATGAGACATTATTGAGAATAATTTGGGAAGAGGGATTGGTTTGCATATTTGAATCAATGAATAATTCCATTCATTCAAAGAGGAAACACCAAGGAACTAAATACAGATTTAGAAAGAAAAACACAAAATATGAGAATTTCAAATATTGAATTGGAGAATATTTAAAATATCCAGGTGGAAGAGCTGAGGGGGAAATTGGATATTCAAGTTTGGGGCTAAAAAAGATATATTACTGGACATTTAATAAACTTGTATATCATCAGGATATAAACAGTAACTGAAGCCAAGGGCAGGAAGAGCTTGATAGAAAAAAAAGGGATTCCTGGAACCAAACCTCTAAGAACCCAATGTTTAAAGAGTAGATAATTTGAGATGAGCCCAGAAAGGAACATAGATGGAACAATCAGAGATATGAGAGGGATGTTGAAGTGATGAGAGCAGGAGCCAGTATGGTAGAATGGGCTGAGGAAAAAGTGGCAGGTAAAGAAGTGGAGGTACATGTATGGACAATTAACAAGACATTTGGCTAAGGAGAAGGGATGGCAAAGGAGATGGAGGGCACAGCAAGGGTGGACAGAGATTTTTTTGTTGTGGATTGTGTTGTTCATTTTTTTTGTTTGGTTTTTGTAGGAGAGATTTGAGCTCGGTGCTGACAAAGATCCAGTAGAAAATGACATTTGGGGGAAAAAGGAAGAATCCAAAGAAGTGTATAAGGTTACTGAAGAAAAATATATAAAAGGAGAAGAGAAGATGATCTAGAAAACAACAATTAAGAAATATTGTCATTTATGGAGTTATAGAAGACAAGTATACTGAAAAAGATCTGGACATTGATAGGAGAAAAAGCAGAACACAGTTTCATGAAAGCCATGGAAAGAGAGTGTTTCAAGAAGAACAGGGAGGTCTATGGGATCAAATGTGCTGAGCATACAAAGAGGATAAGAACTGAGAAATAGCCATTGACTTGAGCTTATGGTCACAATAGCCTGGGATAGAATTGGTTTCCTGGAGCAGTGGGATGAAATCCAAATTAAAGTGGGTTAAAGTATAAGTGGTAGGTGAGGATATGGAGGCAGTAAGTGTGGACAGCCATTTCACAAAGAGTTTTTATGAAGGGGAAAGTGAGCCTGCAGACAGAGAAGAGATCAAATAGAGCCATGGGGTTTTGCTTTTGTATTTGTAGGAAGTTGGAAGAGACTTGAAGATAATTAAATGTTAAATAGAAGGAAGAGAGTGAATATACAGAGAGAGGGGATAAGAGTGAAGTCTCTGATCATAGGGAAGAGAGAGAGCAAGTGGTGGGAGTAGGCTAAGGAGAAGGGAGACATTGCTTGTTGGCGGCAACAGAAAACAGGAGGAATGGTGATGGAAGTGGGAAACTTGTATTATTGTTTGCAGAACATTGGGGTATTACAATATGGTGGGCTTTCATTTATTTATTTGTTGCTAAATAAGAGACAAGATCATTTCCTAAGAAAGAAAGGTGAATCAGGGAAAGATATCTGAAAAGATTCACTTGTCTTTGTATTACAGTCATTCCTTGGTATCTGAGAGGGACTGGTTTTAAGATCTCCATAGATACCAAAATCCAAGGAAGCTCAAGTTCCTTATAGAAAATGGCACAATGTTTGCAAATAACCTATGCACATCCTCCCATATACTTTAAATCATTGCTAGATTGCTTATAATACTTAATACAATGTAAACGCTATGTCATTGTTATTCTGTGTTATTATTTTATTGTTGTATCTTTATTGCTTTTTTCTGAGTATTTTCTAAAAGACTTTTTTTCGTAGTCTGAAATATTTTAGTTTAAAAAGAATAATGGGAAATATGGTAGCGTCAGAAATTTGGGAAACACTAAGACTTGAAATAACTTAAGTAAGAGAAAGAGCTGGCTAGGGTAACATAGAATGCTGGGAAGGTAACATCTCAGTTGACTTAGGAGACCACAGATTTATGGTTGATGGCCAGTTGTACACCAAGTCACTTTCTTTTCCTATAGGGTAGCCAGCTGGGCTGAATTTTCCAGCCTACAGTGCAGCCAAATGATTGTGTGTAGACCAAAAAGAATATACAGAAGGGATATAACCACATTTCCTGATTCTGCGTCCACAATCCTCACAAATATGGCTTTTCTCTCTCCATTCAATGGTTGAATAGAGATGACTCCAAGGACTTAGAAGAAGGAGGAGCCACAACACAGCAGGAGCCTGGGTTTCCGAGTTAACATTTGGAGTGGAAACTCCTAGGAGAGTCATCTGAGTGATAATATACATTTTGTTCTCTAGTATGAATGAGACACTAATTTTTATTATGGTAAGCTGTTAAAATTTGGGGGTGTTTCATCATAGCAGTTACCTTACCCTTGCATTCATCTTCACAAATGTGCGATTTTTCTTCCCCTATAGTACTGAACATCCCTGTGCAAATGATAAGAACTGTTGTATTACATTCTCTGTGCTAGATAGTTAAATGGGATGGCCCAAAGGACATGGGAATAAAGGAGTAATGAGTAAACAATTGGATTTGTGAACAATTACATTCATTGAATAATGAGTACATAACTAATTAGGATTCCCATTTGGAGGCAGAAGACATGAGAGACTTCAAGAGCATGATTGGTATTTTACAAACATAAAATGGATTCCTGTTTTCAGGAAGGTAATAGGGAAAGTGCCGCCCATTGGCCTAAAGGGGATTCACATAAGAGAATATTGGATTCTATCCAACAACCACAATCCCTGAGGAGTCTGGACCTGCATAACCATAAAATCTCCCTATTGAGAATCTGAAAGAAAAGGCCCCTTACTCCTGCTATGTCTATGACACTTTATGTGGGAGGATCACTCCTCTGCCTGTGTAGAAGAGTTGCTGGTCCAAGCTCAGGGCACTGAATTCACTGGTCCTGGCGGACTCACTGCAGCAGATGGAACACTCTCAGCTATTGACCCCCGTAAGTGCTGCAGTGAGGATGATAGAATCAATGTCATAAAGAACCTGATCTGCAGAGGTGGGAAGTCTATAGGGTATTCAACTGCACAGGCCCTCTTCCATCATAACTTGCCTGCCCCAGAGAAATTTTCTTTGTGGGACATAAGATATCCACTCTCCAGACCCTCAAACTCCAGTATACCAAGAGGCCAGTGAGGCAGATGACCTTCCTTGCTTCTTCCTGCAAGGTTCCCCACTATGTGATCACCCTTAGGGCCTGGAATGGGGTTTCCAGAAACTCGTGGAATCAATACAACTGCCTGGAACCTTCCCAGCTCCTTGCCTCAGAAGCCTTCTCTTCTCATCCTCCTTATTCCTGTCAAAGGGGTCTTTATTTAAGCCTCAGAACACATCTAGTAGAAGACAAGTAATATGAGGAAAGAGGTTGAGGTAGGACAAGACTGAAAACTTTGTAAAATGGTGGAAATAGCCCAGACTTTGGAGCTCAACATACTTGAATTCAACCCCCTATTTTGCTACTTACTAGTTGTGTGGTCTTGGACAAGTCACTTGATTTCCCTAAAATGGGGATAAAAATGCCCACCTCCAAAGAATCATTTTAAATATTGTGAATGTCTTATGTACAAATACCTGGAGCATAGTACATCTTCATAAATGGTTATTTGTATGTGTCTGGGGGTTGGGTAGCAGGAACCACTTGGATTAGTTTCAGGCAGCATGCTTAAACTCTCTGAAAGGGAAAGAGGGAGGAGGGTGTGATTGAGATTGAAGGTTGACCTGAAGGAATGATCATCTGTGCTGGCCTAGAAACTCCATTCATCTTCTTTCCTAACCTATTCCTAGTGCCTTTTCACACACTTTCCTTCTGCACGTCTTCTCTAAGGCCAGCAAAAGGCTCATTTTTTTTTCTTCCTTTAAGTCTTGGCTCCAAAGTTAGTTCCTTACTGAAGCCTTCCTTCTCCAACCTTTATAACAGCGTTCTCCAGCTGTCACTCTCTATCCCTTTACCCTGCTTTAATTTGCTTTATGAAAATCTTAACCTGAAAATTATGTATGTATTTGTTTACTCGTTCATTACCCCCACTGGAATTTGAGATCCATCTGGGCAGAGACCTCTTGTATTCCCAGTATCCTCAGTGCCTGGCAGTGAGTAGATGTACAACCAGTATTTTTTCAATGAGTGAATGAAAATAATACCATACTAAATACATCATTTTCATCCACTTGAAAACAACTATCAAAAGCATCATAAAGGCATGTATTATCCATATCATTTTCTTAAAATATAGGACTTTTATAAAAAGTTATGTATAATTTTACTCATAATAGACTACAATCAAGATTTCAATTCATAAAAAATCTTTTAATTTTCTGTAACGTGGGTCCCTGACTGGGTCAGCTTTCAAAGTTTTATATACTAGAGTATGGAAACTAGAATGTGTCCCCGGACCCCCCAACGTGCACCATGTTTATTCATTTGTATTTTCATATTTACTTGAGGACTAGGAAGTGGGAGGGAGGAATACTTAACCTTAACTGCAACTTGAGTTTAGATAGATAGAGAGATAGATAGATAGATAGATAGATAGATAGATAGATAGATAGATAGTTAGATGAATTCAACACACTGCAGAGGCTTAAGAGAAGGCTGGATTGCAGGGAGGGCTGACCAGTTTCCAGGAAATGAAGATAAGGATGAACTCTAGAACAAACAGCCAGATTCAAGAACTTGGCCCGAGGGTGGGAGAAGAGAATAGTTTTAGCTTTCTGGGGGATCTCATCCACACTTGTAGTATGATGAACCTGGAAAGGCGGAAGGGCCATGAGTGTGAGTGGAACATGCTGGTTCCATAAACTCTGTGGCACATTAGTTTGTAAGAAGGCTTGCTATGGGACAGCCCCAGATTGAGTCTCCTTTTCATCTTAGATACTGACATTAAGTGTTCCACAGGTATGAGCCTTTGGAAGCAGCAGCTGCAAATCTGTCTCATGAGAGCAGCAATGACACACCTCTACAGGGCTGTCAGGGCTGGCACGGTCATGGAAAGTTCCAGAGGGACAGCAAATCTCTAGCTTAGCAACACTGAGGTGACAGAGACAGCTACACCTGGTGTAATAACATCACTGCACAGCCCTCCTAGGAGATTTAGGACATGTGCATTGTGAGACCCCATTTGTCTGGAAGCCACAGCAAGCCAAGACTGAGCCTGATAAATGGGCACCAGCAAGATATCCCTGAGGACACCCAAAGTGCCTGGAGAGGGGAAATGTGCAAGGCACTGACATTTCCTTATAAGCACATGGAAGCTGGGAGCTAAGGGGAATCCAGTATTAATAGAACCATATTTGTACTCTATATTAATAGAACCATATTTGTCCTCACAAGCTGGTAGAGATGGAAACATTCAGGTGTACTTACAGCCACAAACAAGGCTGAACTCCTTTGACTGCTGCATCCTCATTACCACTTTCTTCTGCTCCCACCGTAATGATCCAAGAAGTTTAAATTCATTTGAAAGAGGTCTTATAGCACATATACCCCTTGCTGCCTTAAAAAATATTCCAGCACAATCTAATGAAAGTCTAGAAGAAAAAGCAGCTTTGACTTTTCAGCAAATGCAGACATTTAATTCTCTATTAGGTGTAGTTCAGTTTTATTAAATTGAAAACAATTTGAAGGAAAACTCAATAAAATTGGAATCTTACTTAAGTTAATGAATAATACTTATTATTCATCACCAGATATGTGGCTCCCAGCTGATGAGCTGTTTTCAAGATGAGAGACATTTAACAAGGCTGTGCAGCAGTGAAATTAGAAAAATGTAAGATGTATTGTGTTTTTATGGTATAAATATATTATAGTAAGATTTATTTTATTTAAAAATTTATCTGGAGGAAAGAAACCATATTGCATCTCTACTACAAAAACAGCAGAGTAACTTAAGTTCTAAGTCAGGAGTAAGTAAACATTTTTGGTAAAGGGCAGATATTACTATTTTATTAAATATTTTAGACTTTGTGGTCCATACGGTGTCATAAATACTCCACTCTACAGTCATCCCTCAAAATCCATGAGGGATTGGGTCTAGATCTCCAGCTATACAAAACCCATGCCTACTCAAGTCCTGCAGTTGACCCTGCAGAACCTGCCTGTATGAAAAGTTGGCCCTCCATATAACTGGGTTTCTCATCCCAAGAATACTATATTTTCATTTGGCATTTGGTTGAAAAAAAATCTGCACATAGGTGGTCCAGAACAGTTCAAACCTATGTTCCTTAAGGGTCAACTGTATTAATGTAGCACAAAAGTAGTCATAGACAATACAGGAATGAATGAGTGTAGCTGTGTTCCAGCAAAACTTTACTTATGGACACTAAAATCTGAATTTCATGTAATTTTCATGTGTTACAAAATATTAATCTTCTTTTGTTATTTAACCAGTTAAAAATATTAAAAACATTCTTAGCTCATGGACCATACACAAACAGATGGCGAGCCAGATTTGGCCTAGAGGCTACGGTTTGTTGATCCCCGTTCTAAGTGGTTGAAAACCTGTTGCTGGTAACTTTCAATTAAGATTTTTCAGATGCTCTTGCACCTGCTGTAGGTGGTGCTCTATTTTCACCGGGGTATCTGCTTTCTGTTAATGCTAATCTCAAAATCCGGTTTGAAAACTAACATGATGAACCCTGTTTCCCTTCTAACCTTTTTCTCATTTGTCTTTCACCACCTGCTGGCCAAAGCTCTTGGGTTTACTTTACTTTCAAACTCTTAATACCTTCTTATAACCCAGTTAGCTCCCAGATGTCTTTATCAGATGCTCTACATTGTGCATTAAGGTGCAATCAATGGTATTGGCTGGAAGAGTCATTCAGAGCTATGGAGAGTGAAAGAAATTACACTTTGCTTTGGAAGAGCCAATAAATTCACAGTGATGGTGCTTTCCTGATAAGAACGCTATTTCTAGTTCTTTGTTCTCCATCTCTCCCCACTTAGTTCATTTGGTGTGCAGGCCAACATGGATTACCAGAGCAACTACGCATGTTACAATTAAGTTATAGAGCAGAGAAGACAACTTTTATGTTCATTTTCCCAGAGAAACATAGATGCAATTTCTCCAAAATGAATTGTTTCCTCTAATATACCTTAATGTCCTTGCCTTGCAAGGGAAGGGATGTGTATGTTTGTTTCTACAGGTGTGGTGCGTGGGTAGTGAAGAATCCAACCAAGGAAAGGCTTTTTGCTGTGACATTCTTGAAATCTCTGAGCTTCTCAGGTCAAGATCTATGCTTGACTTCCCCTATTTCCCAGTTGCTTCTTTATAATTCCTGGGAATGCATCTTTCCGATTTATTTATCAGACTAAATTTATTGAGTGTCTACTATGTGCCAGGAACACTTCTAGGACCTTGGGTTCCATCAGTGAACAAAACAGACAAATATCCCTTCCCTTGGAATGCTTATATTATAGTGGGGAAAAACAGTAAACAATAGATATAATAGTTGTCAATTAAGAAGGGTGTTAAAAAGTGTTAAGTGCTATGAAAAAAAAAAAAAGCAAAGCAAGGGGGATTAGAAGTTCTAAGTTTAGGAGTTTCCAATCTTTAAATGGTCAGGTTAGGATTATTGAGGAGTTGACATTTGACCAGACTTCCAGGAGGTAAAGGAGTTTGCCATGTTGATATCTTAGTGAAGAACATTCAGGCACAGGGAACAGCTAGTGCAAAGGCCCTGAGGTAGCAATATGCATGGTGTTACTATTTGTGAAAGATTCCTGGATTAGAAAAATTTAACCTAGAGTGCTTACCCCTTATGAAATAACTACTATCTCTAGACTCTTCCCCAAATAAAATAACTCAAACTGATTCTTTGGTAACCCCCTTTCAGCTCATTCTCTAATTGGATAACACCATAGAGAAGGTTTCTAGTTCCCAACTTTGCTGGCTCCCTAGAATCCCCTCTCTAATTCTGGGTAGACAGGTAGTTAAGATCTAATGGTTGGACAGTTAAAGGTTGCAGTCCCAATTCTGCCTACTAAAAGGCATGGGGCTTTCAGCAATCTACAAGTTTTGGTCACCTCAACTATAAAAAGGAGATCATAACAATAATATCTGAATCATGGAGATTTTAGAATAGTGCATATAAAACAGTGGGCACAGGGTCAGACACATAAATATTTACCGTTATTATTAGGTATTATCTTTGTACCTTCTACCTTGAACAAAATAACTCTTCTGTTTTATACAAAACTTAATAAATAAAATTTCGTTCCCCAAGATTTTGATTTTTAATTTGTTCAAAGAAATTCATCCCAAGTGGAATAAAACACTTATATAGGTCAGATTTGGGGTCCCCACCCTCACTCATGGATTTATAGATGAATATGCCCATGATAGTGATACTATTATCCTTTATTTCTCTGATGAACCTTGTATATAAAACTATTACTTTCTTGAATGCAAAACCTTACTATTTACATCAACATACACTCAAGGGAAAAATGATAATGAAGCCAGCTGCTTGGTTTAAAAAGAAAAACTTTATAATAATAATTTTCTCCCTCTTCATTTTCTGGAATTTTAAAATTACATGATCAAAATCTCTTCCAGAGAAAATTGCCCAAGATAAGAATCTTGCCAGCTAAAGAGAAAAGATGAGTCCTGAAAATGCTGTACAAGTAATTGCCATAAAGTTTAATGAGAATCTGTTCTAATATGATGAAAACCAAAGAACAAGAAATATCTTCCATGGTGGCAGCAGCAGTAAGAGGGGGAAAAAATCTATCATGTTTTATAAATAAAGGTGAGGATTTGAACTAATGGGCATAAGAAAGGGAGGAAACAATTACAACCCTATGCCTTGGAGAATGTTATTTAATTAAGCAAAATGATGACAAACCTCCAGTCAGGACACAATGTTACATTCTTAGCAACTTACTCTAAGAGAGAAGGGAAGAGCCAAAGTAATCACTAGACTGAAATAAATTAGTGTTTTTATTTCTGGTGAGCTTCCCCATGCACAGTAGGGTCAGCATTGGTAGACTTGGTTCTCTGTGTGCTTATAGACTGAACAGAGAGGAAAACATTTTATTCTCATCTTACATTTAACAGACTAATTGCATTACATGAACAGAAACAAATAACCTTCCTCCAAAGACTCAAATCTTTCCAAACAAAAGCTTTGTTCCATGATGCACACAACAGCCATATTGAAAGTGACTTCTCCCTAAAGCTGGGTTTTTCCAGCATGCTGAGAAGGAGGACTGAAGGAACAAGGAAGGTCATTTGAGTCAGACAGGCTAGGCTTCCAGACCTTGCCACTTGGCCACTATATAATCTTGGTCGATTTACTTAAGTTTCTGAGTCTCTTCTTCCTCATCTGTGAAATGGGGGAGAATGACACTGTCTTACAATGCTAACCTCCCAAGGATGACTTGGGAAGTGTACCCTTAGCGCCTGCATAATTTCCATTAGCCACTCATCCGTAGAGGTACTACAGGTTAAGATAAATTAGGTAAAAATACTATGATTGCCCTGAAGACAAAGCTTCAAGGTAAGTCCTTAAACTCTTCCTCCTTTTCATTTCCTCCATACAGTATTCATGGAATTATATAACTGCTTCTAAGACACTCCCATATAACAAGCCTTAGTTAAAAAATTTTGGTGGTAAGTTACAGAAGTTCTTTCAAGCTAAGTAAGCAAAAGTGTATTAGAAGGATACTAGTAGATCTCTTGGAGTTCAAGGAAGATAAAAATTGGGAGCTGGAAAACCATCAGCAACCCAGGAAGGCCAGTCTCAGTTCTTCCCTCTACTCCTCTCCACAAATGCATTTTCAAGTTTGACGTTTTAAAATAAAAAGCAGATTATAGAGCAAAAATTTTAAAATATACACATAAAAAATGTTCACCTTGAATTTGACAGTTCTGATCAATTCTAGAAATAGTGGCCACAAATTTTAAGTACATGAATAATTTGTCTTCTATGTAGAGAGAGAACGCTGCTCTGCAAAACTAGCTGGATACCATCACAAAGCATGTACATTTTGTCTCCCATTGCCCTCTTAAAATTCCCTCAGGTCGGGCTACCTTTTCCCCGGCCCATGGGTTAGAATTGAGAAATGCAATTACTTTGATGTTTACATTCAAGTAGCACAAAGTCTACAGTCACTTTAAATCTCCAAACACAGTTTCCAGTCAGAGTGTCCAGTCCCCTATAATAATGAACTCTTCAGTCTTCATTTAAAGGTTCTTATTTCCCTCCCCTGGGTCTGACCTGCTGTACAACACAACAGGAGACACTGTCTTTCTGGCTTTCTTCTACAAGTGAAGATTTGCTCCAACACCCTTAACCCCTTGATGACTCTGAGAAGTTTAAGAGTTGTTTACTCTTTTCAAATGCTGTGTGATGGTCTACCTCACAACCTGATTTATAATCTAATCCCGTTGCTGATGTTATTGGTCTCAAGGGTCCCTTGACCAGCTGCTGTGAATGCATAGTTCAGTCACCTGCAACCTTCTCCATCTCTGGAGGATTGCCCTTGGCAATTGGAGTGGCCTTGCTAGGAGGTGCCTGGGAATTCACTCCCCTGCCCAGGGTGAGTCAGGACTGTCTGATGTGAAGGAACAAAAGCCTTGCCTCCTTGCCTCATGGTGGGCAGATTCTGTGGTGCCATTCATGCTCCAGAGCTCCCCAAAGCTTCAAGCTGAGGCTAGACTACACCTGAAACCATTTTTGTTTAGCCTCTCTCTTTCCCTATCTTACTTTCTCCACTCCCTTACAGGCTTTTCCTGAAAGCACTCTCTTAACAAATTACTCGCATAAAAATCTCTGTCTTGGGCTGTATTTCTAAGGAACCCAATTTCAGACAGTGCATGTTGTACTTTGGTTCCTCAGTCAAAACTTTTAGTTAACACCTTGTTACACCAGAAGCTAATTATCATATATTATCCTAGTCTTCTTCCAACGGAACAATAAAAAGTCCCCTGGAACACTTTCTAATAGTCAATAAAGTATGGCTTTGGCTCAAAGAAGAAATTTACAATTCTATTCTGGATTCTCTCTATTTTCTCTTCTGTGCCTCTGACTCCGTCCTGCCAAAAAAAAAAAAAAAAAAAAACAGCAATGGATGTGGTTTTTATTGTTTTCTCCTTTTTTAAATCATATATTTGGCTGTCCAACACCTAACTCTGAATGCTAGTATTTTCCAGTAAATCAGAAAGGAGGATTATCTGTCAACTCCAAAAGGAAAATCAAACCAAGATGCACAAGCAGGAAAAAAAAAATCATTTTTCTCCAGCTCATTCACCCACATCATTCTTTCAGAATAGAAACAAAGCAAAAGAATTGCTGTGTTCTTTGAGGCAACCTGGCCCGAAAAGAAGCGGAAGAAAAAAGATGAACTCAGAGTTGTCTATACTTAAATAAAGCTTTCCTGTGAGTAAATAATGTGCATTAAAAAGTCACTCTTGATTCTTTTCACTTGGTCCTGACATAGAAAATGTTTGATTGCTGAGAAAAGCATGTCATCCTCATGTGACTCCTAGCCCACAGGAAGGCAATATTTATCCAGTTGACCTGGAGGGGAGAAGGTGACCTTAAACGCCTCCCACCATCAAACCGAAGGAAAATAGAAGGGAGGGAAGAAAGTTCTCCATAATGCTGTAGGTCAGAGGTCAGCAAACTCTTTTTCTGTAAAGCACCAGACAGTAAATATTTTTGTCTTTGTGGTCATATAATCTCTGTCACAACTACTCACTCTGCTATTGTAGTTTTGAAAACAACCATAGGCAGTACTTAAAAGAATGGACGTGGCTGTATTTCAATAAAACTTTATTCATAGACATAGAAATTTGAATTTTGTATAACTTTTATATATCTCAAAATATTCTTTTGATTGTTTTTCAAATATTTAGAAATGTAAAAATATTCTTTGCTCATGGGTCATACAAAAACAGGGGACGGGCTCGATTTGATCCCCAGGCTGTTGTTTGCTAATCCCTGCTCTAGGTCAGAGGGTGGAATTTCTCTTCAATTCACTCAGGACTGGAAGCTGGTTCTTAAACCGAAAAAGTCATTTAAAGTAAGGAATTATAAAAATAATACCCATTTTAATAAACTACTTTAAATAACAGCACATCAATGTATATACACTTACCCATTCTTTCCTTGTGAGGCTATGACTTTTTATTTTAGCAGAAGTCTGCCAAAGTTCAAATGGTTTTGCTTAGTACTTTTACTAAAGTTTCTTGTTTAGTTTAGTCTTAAGTGGGGTGACAATTTGAAGCTGCTTGCAAATTTATTCAAGGTGCAGAATGTTTCTAGTTTTTACAAATCCCCTTAATGTTTTATAGTTGTGTCCACCACACTTTCTTTTTTTTTTTTTTTAGTTTTACAGACAAGGTCGTGCTCTGTCACCTATCTCACTGCAGCCTCAAATTCCTGGCCTCAACTGATCCTCTCCCACACTTTTTGACAGCAATGACTGAGCAACTTTTCTTTTCAAGACTCTTTCCAAAGTACCCAGCTCAGTTTCTTAATAAAGCAATTTTCTTTATTAAATTATGAAATTACTATGACAAACAGAAGTGTAATAAAGCCAGCGTTCCTGGCACAGGCATTCAGCAGGCAGCGGGCATCAGTCACTGCCTTCTATAGAATGAAGGTAGCATCAGTAAATCTAGCAGTCAGTTGAGCAGTATCCTGCTCTCTGAACACGCTTCGAGTTGCATGTGGGGACGGAAGATAGTACAATGATGTTACATCTTTTTATTGAAACAAGTTAGAGGCATTGCATTTCCTAGTGTTTAAAGCAAGAGCATGCCTAGCTCCCCTCAAAAAAAAAGTAGTTGTCATTTTCTTCCTCAACAAAAATGAAAGACCAATTCAAATGAGTTAGCCCATGATACAGGAAGTGTATATTGAATCTTCCCAGGAGACATCAGTGCTCCACCAGAGTCATGGGCATGCTCTGCTTGGAATAGCAGTGGGAGTGGGTTCTATGAATGAAAATTAGTACAGCTGTTGAAGTAATGTCATGCTGATTGGAGCATAATCATCATGGAGACATAGTCAAGATGTAGTAGAATGAGTCAAATGGGAATTAAAGGAGAAGAGAAACAAGGATGGCCCCAAAAAAAGATTTTCCACATTTTCCAAAAGAAAGGCAACTTTTTTTTAGCAATTCAATTCCAATACTCTAATCTTCTCTAGCGAGCATGGTCTTGGGAGGAAAAAAAAAAAAAAACTAACTAATTCATGTATTTGAATTCTTTATACATATATTTTCAGATCTCCTCAGTAGAATATGAACCTCCTTTGTAATTAATATTTATTCTATTATCAGGAAATAAAAGTGCAAGTAGCTTTTAGCCTCCATTTCAGAGCATGTCATATATTCCTGCTGAAACTTAACTGCTCTGATGGATGCTACGTCCACACTTACCTGAAGGGATCATCCTAATTCGTACTATCCTTAGTACTAATGTAACCTGAGGTGACTTACAAGAAAACAACAAATACTCGAACACCCAAACTTCTATCTGGGGCCTCAATTCTGATTTTAAATTTGAGCTTTAGTATATTGTCACTCTTTAGATAAATGCACGTTATTGCTTCTCCACCTTTTGGTTAAAACCAAGTGTAGATAAATGCTTATTATAACACACATGGGCCATACTAAAACCTGTGACTCCTTTAGAACCAGGTGGATGTGGGGAGAGAGGAGAAGAGAAAAATGCTCATATTTAATCTTGTAATACCTTAAGTAGTCATTATACTCACTGAGCTTCAAAGATGTTTCAAACTATCTCCTGGGACATGCAAAGTCCTCTTCAGTGTTTCCCTGCTGGTTCACTCTGTCCTCAGTCCTTTAAGTAAAGGATACATCTTATTTTTCCCTTAGATGCTGAGCATTTTGTGGTAAACCTCCAACCTCTTTTTGCTCAGATCTCTTGAGCCACCATATTGGAGAGGCCCCATAACACTCCCAAAGTGGCTGCTCAATCTCTTGTGGCCCAAATCGAGACCAGAAGAAACACTCCTATTTGCATGTGCTACATCACAAACTGGAAATTCAGGTTATCCAAATACAGAAGCCCTCTCTTAGCTATGGAAACAGTCCAGTTTCTCACCCCTTGCTTCACCTTCGTTTTCATTTCTGGGCAGTAATCTGGCTTCAGTCCTCACTCCTCTGCAGCTTTCGCAGGCAAGAGTCAGACACCAGTCTCCACATCTCCCAACAGCAGGAAACACATTTCAAACTCTATCAGTGCTTTCCTTTAAGGTCCCCTGACTGGGATGGAGTTAGAAGGTAACCCCTTCCCACTCTACCTCTAAAGGAAGTGAGGACCCACAACACTGCAGCAGCTCTCTCCAATAAAATTTCTTCAGCAATCTCCTTTACAAAGTCCTGTCTCTGATGCTTTTTTATAGCCTTGATATGGCTGAGGGGTCCAGGAGTCCTTGAACAAGATTGTGTTCTCATTTCATTTCAAATCACTTATGGTGATTTAGCTGACTCATTTTAAACTCTCTTATCCATTGCAATTTCTTGTCTCGCCTGAAAGTTCAATCTTAACATAGTTCTTTCTGCATGCAAAATCCCATCATTCAGAGATAATCAGAGAACATTTGAATAGATCCTTTTATATTTTTAAGAATATAGTTTTAACAAAAATGAGATTTCATAACCTGATGTTTTTCAATTAGCAATGTATTCTGAGCACCTTTCCATGTCAATAAATCTCTACATCAACATTTTTAATAGTTGAAGCTATTCCATTTTTTTAATTCAATTTTTTTGTTTGGCACAGATTTAGGCTGTTTCTTCTTTCCATTATGAAAAATTATCCTGTGAAAGACATCTTTATTGAGAAACTTCAAAATATTCAATTATTTAACCAATATTTTTACATTTTAAATTTAGTTGACATGTAATAATTGCACATATTAATGGGGTATGGAGTGATATTTTGATATATACACAATATGTAGTGATCAAATCATGTTAATTAGCATATCCATCACCTCAAACAATTAGTATTTCTTTGTAATGGGAACATTCAAAACCTCTTTTCTAGCTATTTGGAAATATGCAATACATTGTTAACCATATTTACCTAGTGCTATGTAACATAATTTATTCCTCCTATTTGGCTGTAATTTTGTATCTATTAAGTGACCTTTACCTATCCTCCCCTCCTCCTACCCTTCCCAGGCTCTGACAACCACAATTTTACTCTACTTCTACAAGCTAAACTTTTTTAGCTCCCAAATATGAGTGAGAACATGTGGTATTTGTCTTTCTGTGCCTGGCTTATTTCACTTAACATAATGTCCTCCAGGCTCATTTATGTTGCTGCAAATGGCAGTGTCTCATTCCCTTTTATGGCTGAATAGTATTCCATTGTGTATATATACCACAGTTTCTTTATCCTTTCATTAACTGATGGACACTTAGGTTGATTTCATAACTTTGCTGTAGGGAATAGTACTGCAATAAATGTATGGGTATAGACATCTCTTCTATCTACTGATTTTCTTTCCTTTGGATACATACCCAGTAGTGGGATTGCTGGATCATATGGTAGTTCTATTTTTAGTTTTTTTAAGAAAATCCGTACTGGTTTTCATACTGGCTGTGCTACTTTACATTCCCATGAACGGTGTATAACAGTTGCCTTTTCTTTGCATCCTTGCCAGCATTTGTTATTTTTTTGTCTTTTTGATAATAGACATTCTAACTGGGGTGAGATTATATATCACCGTGGTTTTGATTTGCATTTCCCTGATGATTAGTAATGTTGAGCATTTTTTCATGTTCTTGGCCATTTGTATGTCTTCTTTTGAGAAATGTCTATTCAGATCCTTTTACCCATTTTAAAATCAGATTGTTTAATGTTACTGAGTTGTTTGAGTTCCTTGTTCATTCTAGATACTGATCCATTGTCAGATGAACAGTTTACAAATATTTTCTCCCATTCTACAGATTGTCGCTTCACTGTGGTGTTTCATTTGCTGTGTGGAATGTTTTTAGTTTGATATAATCCAACTTGCATTTGTTCCCTGTGCTTTTGAAGTATTATTCATAAAATCTTTGCCCAGACCAATGTCCTAAAGTGTTTCACCACATTATCTGCCAGTAATTTTATAGTTTCTGGTCTTATATTTAAGTCTTTAATCTATTTTGAGGTGATTTTTATATACGGTGAGATATAGGGTCCTAGTTTCATTCTTCTGCATGTGAATATCCAGTTTACCCAGCACCATTTATTGAAGAGACTGTCCTTTCCCCAGTGTATGCTCTTGGCACCTTTGTTGAAAATCAGTTGGCTCTAAATATGTGGCTTTATTTCTGGGTTCTCTGTCCTTTTCCATTGGTCTATGTATCTGTTTTTATGCAAGTACCATGCTGTTTTGATCACTATAGCATTGTAATATACTTTAAAGTCAAGTAGTGTGATGCTTCCAGCTTTATTCTTTTTGCTCAGGATTGCTTTGGTTATTCAGGGATTTTTGTGGCTCCGTATGAATTTTAGGATTTAAAAAACTTCTGTGTATTTACTTTTATTTTTTATTTTTTTGAAATGAAGTCTCGCTCTGTCACCCAGGCTGGAGTTCAGTAGTGCAATCTCGGCTCACTGCAACCTCCGCCTCCCAGGTTCAAGCAATTCTCCTGCCTCAGCCTCGCAAGTAGCTGGGATTACAGGCACCCGCCACCAAGCCCAGCTAATTTTTTGTATTTTTAGTAGAGATGGGGTTTCACCACGTTAGCCAGGCTGGTCTCGAACTCCGGACCTCAGGTGATCTGCCCACCTCGGCCACCCAAAGTGTTGGGATTTCAGGCGTGAGCCACCACGCCCAGCCTAAATTTCTGTGTATTTAACTAATACATATTGAACATCTTATGAAAGAATACTGAAATTTATTCCAAGAAAACCATTCTTGGAATAAATTTCTAGATTTGGAACAGCACAGTTAAAATGTATGCATATTTTAAGGCATTTGATATATATTTCTAAACTGTCTTGCAGTTACATGTGCATGTGTATATGTTTATGTGAGTAAGAGAGTTTTAGTCCCTATAGAAGGAAAGTATTGCTTTTTGGAAACTTTGTTTCACTATTTGGGAGAATTAATGAAATACAACTAACAGGAAGCATACATGTATTTATCTTTCAACAACTTATTAGATCTTTTTTTACTCTAAGCTAATTTTAGGCTAACAGAAAAATTGTGAAAATAGTATAAAGAGTTCCCTTATATAACTCGCCTGCTTTTCCTAATGTTTACATCTTACCCAACAATAGCACAATTATCAAGAACAGGAAATTAATGTTGGAATATTATTAACTAAATGGAAAAATTTATTCAAGCTTCACCAATTTTTTCCCTAATGTCCTTTTTCTATTGCAATGTCTTATCAAAAATCCCACTTTGTGTGTGGTTATGTCTCTCTCGTCTCCTCCATGTGTAATAGTTCTTTAGTTTTTCCATCTTTAATGATGTTAATACTTTTGAAAAGCATTGATTGGATACTTTGTAAAATGCTGCCCATTTGGGGTTTATCTGATGTTTCTAACAGTTGAAGTTAAGTTATGTATTTTTGGCAGAACGCATCATACCAAAGGACTCATGATAGTGATATATCTTATTAATAATGGTATTTACTGTAGTCCCTTGGAAATGCCATTTTAAAGCTACAGAAGGAAAATACAAATAGCATTTATAGAGCATCAACTATATACTACACACACTGCCTTTGTTTTTCTATAATCCTCCTAAAGACTCTGTGAAGTAGGTCTTGTTATCCCCATTTTATTGAGTTTCTTAAAAATTATATAGCTTACCCAAAGTCATAAAAGATATGTCTGACTCTAAAGCCAGGGCTTTCTGGAGCATAGGATAAGCATTTCTTCAATATAGGGAACGATTAAAGAAAATCCAAGTGCATGTGAGTGTGCATTGCTACTCTAGAATTTGATTCTCCATTTTATTTTCCTTAAGGTAGAAGCCTATAGAGTCACATTTTCAGAAATAGTATTTTGTTATGGAATAACAAAGTCAAATATTTAGTGATCAAAATTTATGGAAAAGTCCTTCGTCATACAGACAATCACAATGACTTTGGCCATATCTCTGCAGGATTTGTGATGTAATTTTCTTTTGGATTATTATAATATAAAGACCAAAAGACAAGTGCAAAATAATTTCCTAAACTGAAAAGTTGAGATGTTGCTATTGGTTTTCATTCAGTCATATATAGACAACATGCATCAAACTGAATGACAGAAAGTCAATGATTAATTTCTCTCTTCAGATAGTTTGTTTTCCAAGGAAGGAGAACACACAAAGCATAATACCTGCATAGCACTCACCATTCTCAGTCATTAATACCCACATCCTCTGAATGCCCCTGCAGTACCATTTAAAGAGTTACCACTTCAATACAATCTGATATGATGGCTGAATATAAGAAAAGAAAAAAAGTTAAGCCTCTGAAGAAAAGTTAAATGAGATAATGCATGCAAAGTGTTTAGCATAGTGCCTGGTACTCAGTGAACACTCTCTTAAGTAAGTTTTACCTCTTGCTGCTGCTGAAGCTGTCTAAGATGTCTCTGTTGTTTAACCTGGGGAAGAGAATATGCGGCTGGCTCATTCCTTGCTCTGTGAGACAAAAGATCAGACGGCTATAAATTTAGAAAGGAAGACGGCTGGTCTCTGGGCCAGTTTGGCAGCTATTTATCTTCTGTAAGTGCTCTTGTGCTATGCTATTGTAATATAATCTAAAAGCACCATATGAACCCATATGAGAGGCATGGCTAGGAGCTGAACCAAGGCAATGTGTCAAGGAGTCAGTAAACACAGTTCAACCACTTTTGAAGTTATTTTCCTTTGGCCTTCCCGTCTGAGAAAGTAGCTTTAGTGTATAAGTACTCATACTGGCCCTGATTATAAGACAGGGCTTCTCAGCCTTGGCACTATTAATATATGGAGCTTTATCTATTTGTTGCTGGGGTTTGGGTGGCAGGGGGTCTGTGCATTGTATGATATTTAGAAGTACCTCTAGCCTTTATGCTCTAGATGCCATTAACATCCCCAACCCAGTTGTGACATCCAAAAATGTCTCCAGACATTTCCAAGTGTCTCCTGGGGGTCAAAATAACCCCAGTGAGAACCATTGTTAAAAGGTAATAAGTCATTCCAAACTCAAATCAGTGATCATTGATTCAAACTAGAAATATTTGGGTGATAAGAAACAATATTTATTCAGTAACAAGTGCTTTGACAGATGTTACCTCATGTATTTCGTGTAATTTTCACATCAGGTGTATGAGATGGTTTTATTCACCATTCATGGATAGAAAAACAGAGGATCATAGGAATCAGGTGATTTGCCCCATCTCACACATAACTGTTCTGTGATGGGATGGACATTTAACAACAAAGCCCACGCTGGTCCTGTTTTGCCCTCATGACTCTCAGTTCAAGTAAAAGGCCTAGCTTCATGCAGTTTCTTCTGCCCCAAAAGAGGAGAATTATACTTACCAGGTACAGACGGTTAGTAAGCTATTGTCTTGTGGAACTAAAGTCACCAGTCTTTATTCCGCTTTGTGAAGCTATGGCTTCAGTTAAACTACATTTCTCCCTTAACAGTTATCTTCCTATTTGGTTTTGCCAATAGGAAGCACTAAAGGAAGATTAGCAGGCAGGAAAAGGGGACTTTCCTTTTCCTGTATGCTAGCCGTGTCTGTCACCACAGCTGACATAGCAACTGCTACTGCTGAGTGCCTAAACTACTAATGGCAGAAACCAAATACTAAGTCACCAGTATGGCACCATTGTCCCAGAAGACCAGCCAGCAACCTGGTGGCAGGCAGGTTAATTATACCGATCCCGTCTGTCACCAACAGAGTAGTGTTTTCTCTTCACGAGTAGACAGGTCTTCAAGATATTGATTTGCCTTCCCTGTCAATAATGTTTCTGCCAGCACCACCATCTGTGCACACACAGAATGCTTTATTCACCATCACTATGTCCCACAAATCATTGCTTCTAACCAAAAACTCAGTTCACAGGAAAAAATGTGTGGCAATGAATGCACACCCGTGGAATTCATTGACTTTACCTTATACTCCATCACCCAGAAGCATCACCTTATAGGAGGAAGAAAAGCCCAACTAAAGGTTTAATTATGTCCAGTTGGGAGATAAACAAGATAAAAATACTGAGCTCTATCTCACAGGAGATAGAAAAACACTTTGAATCAGCAAGCAATATCCATATCTAGCTCCCATAGGCAGAAATCCTGGGCCCAAGAATAAAGGGATGAAAGTGGAAGTGAATCCTCTCACCATCACACCTAATATCCTGCTCACAGAATGTTTGCATTTAAACTAATTACCTGGGTTCTGCTCCTTTGGGGGCTTTGGTTCCAAGCAGAGGACACAATATGGCTTCACTGAATTGGAAGCTGAGACTAGCACTGGCTGTTTTGGACTCCTGATGCCCCTGACTCCAAAGGCGAAGAAGGATAAAGTCCTGTCCTAATTGAGATGATTGATTTGGATTACTAAGAGAAGACTGAGTTGCTTCTATTCAATAGGGTCAGGGTAGATTACATCTGGAATCCAAAGGATTCTCTGAGGATCTCTCTGTTACTTTCTATTTTTGACAGTGAAAGTTAACAGTAAGCCCCGCCTCACCAAGAAATGAAACAAAACAAAAAATAGGTAGAACCATCCAACCAGGTAAAATAATAGCAACCAACTGTCTCAGGGAAAAGAAATACAGAATAACCAATGGAAGAAGAAATTTATAAATATCAATGAAGGCACTGTGAATAGTTACAGGCCTTCAGTTATAGAAATGAAATCTTCAGTTATATTTACTTCCTTGCCTCCTGTTTTGTACATTTGTATCTATATATGCCTCTATGTGTGTGTGTGTGTGTGTGTGTGTGTGTAATATTAACTCCATTTTTCTATCTTCTTTTCCCTTCTTTTACATAAGTATTATTTAAGTATTTTATCTTATTTTATGTAAGTATTGGTGGTAGTAGTTAACCTCAAAATTTAGTCTTTGTTATACTTTGAAATAATTTTAGATTCAGAAATTGCATGGCTTACAGAAGATTCAGGTACAAGTGTAACCAAACTAAGGGAAAAATAAAATTTCTCCAGAAAGAGAGTAACTGCCAACCAGAGATGACTACCATGATTGTTGAGACTTCATCTTTCTCTTTTTTGAAGAGAAGATGAGAGTATGTTTGTTTATGCAGAGGATAACTGTATATCATTAAGCAGAATAATCTTTGGTTGAATGTAATTTAACATATGTGTAAACAGGTATGCATGGACCCTGAGGTGGCACAGGTCTGTATCCTATACATTTTTAGGCCATTAATAACTCAAATCCACCCTTCTGTACTCTGTTTTGAGACTGGAACTCAGCAAACTATATTTCTCCTTTGCCATCTGGCTTCCTGCGAAGTTCTGATGGTAGGGGGTGCTAGACAGAGATTAAAAGTTTGGGGAGAGGGGGAAGAAAAGAGAATTTCTCCTGTTAACTTGCTGTCACTGTATCATCCTAACAGCGATATCCCTTTATCCCAGCAGTACAGTTGGTTCCAGCTGCCAACATTTTTTTCCTTCCCCAAATTAGCTTTATCATGGCTCCTCAGAGGTACCAGAAGTAGCCAGTTTGGGCCCCTCATCAGTGGTCTGCACCCTAGATCCACAGAGCCCCTCTTCCAATATTCTTTTATTTTAAGCAGCTTTGTTGAGTTATAATTTACATACTAAATTCATCCATTTAAAGTGAACAATTTAGCGGTTTTTAGTATACTCCAGAGTTGTCCAACTGTCAACACAACCCAATTTTAGAACATTTTTGCCATCCCCAAAAGAAATCCAGTGCCAATCAGTAGTCACTTCCCATTTTCCACCTCTCCCCCAGCCCTAAGCAACCACTAGCCTGCTTTTATGTCTCTACTGATTGCCTATTTTGGACACTTCATATAAGTAAAACCATACAATTTTTGGCTTTTGTGTCTGGCTTCTTTCACTTCGCATGATGCTTTCAAGGTTTATCCGTGTTGTAACATGTATGAGTACATCATTCCTTTTCATGGCTGAGTAGTATTCCATCATATGGATATACCAATTTTGTTTTTTCATCAGTTAATGGATATTTGAGTTGTTTCTACTTTTTTGGATATTATGAATACTTCTACTATGAACATTTGTGCACAAGTTTTGTGTAGACATACGTTTTCATTTCTCTTGAGTATGTACATAAAAGTGGAATTATTGGGTTATATGATACTTTTCAAGCTTCTTAGTTTTGATCATCCCTCTCTGTATTTTATTCTCCCAACCCCAGCAGTAGCAGCTCCTTCTTATAGTTATAATCCATGGATTGCCTCAATCTTCCCTTTTTGATCGTTCTACCCTCCAATGATTGTGTGGTCAGTTGCCTGCATTAAGTTTCTTCAGTTGAAGTACCTAGTATGGTTTCTGTATTTCTAACTAGACCCTGGATAATATAATCATATGATGCATTCTAACTAGTTTTATCCACTTTTACTGAGCAAGGAACAGAAATCTCTTTAAACCTCTGCAAGTCAGATAGAAATAACTCTCACACAATTAAGGCTGTTAAACCTTGGCATATATGCTGTTAGTCAGTAACAGGATTCAACTGTAATCCACTGAATGGGTGGCCACCATGAGATAATATTTTAAGCATCCGTCTGAAATAGTTTAAGGTCAACATCTCTTATATCCTGTAGTAAAATTCATTCCTTCATTTCTTTCTTCACTCATTAATTTGTTTGATAATTATTTATCAATTACTTTGTTCCAGGCACTGTTCTAGGTGCTGGTGATATAGCAGTGAATAAAATACACAAAATATGAATAATCATAAAGTTTATATTTTAGTGGAAGAGAGAGAGAGATGGTAAACAAGTAAGTATGACATGTAAGATGGTGAATAGCAATATGAAGAAATTTAAAGAATGGAAGAAAGATGGGAAGGGCTGAGTTTGGGGGAGTACATTTTTAAATGGGCTGGTAAGAAGAAGTTTCACTGTGAAGGTAACATTCAAGCAAACTTCCAGAAGAGATGAGGGAGAAGGCCTGTGGATACCTGGGAAAAAGGGTGTTCCAGGCAGAGAAAACAGTAAGGTTTTCTTCTCAAGGACTTGTGTTGGGAGGATGCCTAGTTTGTTTAAAGAATAGGATGGAGTCTGGGTGTGGCGGTTTGTGCCTGTAATCCCAGCACTTTGGGAGGCTAAGGTAGGAAGATCACTTGAGCCCAGGAGTTCAAGACCATCGTGGGAAACATAGTGAGACCCCATCTCTACAAAAAATAAATAAATAATTAAACAGCTAGCTGGGTATGGTGTGCCATATGCCTGTAGTCCCAGATACTTGGGAGGCTGAGGTGGGAGGATTGCTTGAGCCCAGGAGGTTGAGGCTGCAGTCAGCCATGATCATGCCACTAGCTACTACCCTCCAGCTCAGGTTATAGAGCAAGACCCTGTCTCAAAAAAAAAAAAAAAAAGCATAGGATGGAGACCAGTGTGGTTGAACTTGAATCCAAGGAGAGAGCAAAAGAAGGTTAAGGAGACCATGGAGGATCAATCTTGTGTGGCTCTGTAGGTCATTATAAGGACTTGGACTTTATTAAGAGAATGATAGGCAGCCAATGGAAGGTTTTAAACAGAAGAATGGCATAACCTGACTTTTATATTTTAACAAGATTACTCTAGCTTCAGTGTTGAAAATAGATTGTGGTAGTGCAGTTAGAAGGCAATAATCCAAATAAAGAACATTGTGAAAGCAGTGGGGAAATACGTAGTTGGATTCTGAATTTGCTGACAGATTGAATGTATGAAATGAAAGAGAGGAGCCAAAACTGACTCCAAGAATTTCAGCCTAAGCAACTGGAAAAATGGAATTGCCTATTACTGAGACAAGAAAGACTGTGGAAGGAAGAGGTCTCCAGGAGAAAGATCATGAATTTAGTTTTGCTTATGCTAAGTTTGATGTGCCTGTTAGACATCCAAATGGAGATGTCAAGAAGTCAGCTAGATATACAAATCTGGAGTTCAGGGGAGAATCACAACTGGAGATATGAATTTGGAGTTCTTGATGTATACATGGCATTTATAGTCCTGAAAATAAATGATAAGATCAAGTGAGGATTTTATGTAGAAAAGAGAATAGGTCCAAGGACTGAGGCCTGGAGCGGCCAGACCTTCAGAATTTAAGGAGATTAGAAGAAACCAGCAAAAGGGACTTAGAATTAGTGGCTGTTCCATAAAAAGAAATGAGATCATATCCTTTGCAGGGACATGGATTAAGCTGGAAGCCATCATTCTCAGCAAATTAACACAGCAGCAGAAAACCAAACACTGCATGTTCTCACTCATAAGTGGGAGTTGAACAATCAGAACACACGGACACAGGGAGGGGAACAACACACACTGGGGCCAGTTGGGGGTTGGGGGCAAGGGAAGGGAAAGCATTAAGACAAATAGCTAATGCATGCAGGGCTTAAAACCTAGATGACGGGTTGATAAGTACAGCAAACCACCATGGCACACGTTTACCTACAACAACAAACCTACACGTTCTGCACTTGTATCCCAGACCTTAAAGTAAAATAAAAAATAATTTTAAAAAAGAATTAGTGACTGCTGAGATTGGAGGAAAATCAGAAGAAGGTGGTGTTCTAGAAACTAAGCGAAAACAAGTATCAAGGAGAAAGGTGTGATTAATACTGTGATAATTTCCATCCCAGGACCTTATAACATTATAGAGATATAAAACATACATCAAACAGTTAGATTCTGTTCCGTGATTTTTGTTTGTAAGAATTTGTGCTGGGTGCGGTGGCTCACAGCTGTAATCCCAGCACTTTGGGAGGCTGAGGCGGGCGGATCACCTGAGGTCCGGAGTTCAAGACCAGCCTGACCAACATGGAGAAACCCCATCTCTACCAAAAATACAAAATTAGCTGGGCATGGTGGTGCATGCCTGTAATCCCAGCTACTCCGGAGGCTGAGGCAGGAGAATTACTTGAACTCGGGAGGCGGAGGTTACGGTGAGCCGAGATCACACCATTGCACTCCAGCCTGGGCAACAAGAGTGAAACCCCATCCAAAAAAAAAAAAAAGAATTTGCTGCATGTATATATAACATAAAATAGGTCAATTTCTCATTTCCTGTACAGACATGAATATAATAAACTAGAATAATATCATAGGAATATTTCAGAGTTTATTATACTTTAATCCTGCTATGGTAAAAGGTTTTGGTCACTTATCTTCATCAAGTAGTTCTACATCAAACTTTGTATTGCTTTCTCAATTATATCTCGGAGCAAAATATTTTAAAAATAGAAATGAGATGTGTTGATTAGATAGCTAACTTATTCTGTGGTGACCAAAAAACTCCAATGGTTTCACCAAGGTATATTTCTCCCTCACATCAAAAATCCAATGGAGATAGTCAATGAGGATCTTCCCTACAAAGGAGAAGAATCTACAGGAGAATCTACAACTCTACCCCTGTATTCAACTCCAACCACACTGGCCTCCATCCTAGACTCTGCCATCTTGTAGCTGCACCATTTGGAACACATGGCTCCCAAGGGTGTGGCAGCAGGAAAAGAGAAGACTGGGCAGCTAGGCGACCAGATGGGTGCTTTTAAGGACTTGGTTTGGGAATGGCTTCAATAGCTCCCACTAGTATCCCACTGGGAAGGACCCTGCTATGTGGTCTCAACTACGAAAAGGCCAAGGAAATGAGTCTCCCTGTCTGCCCAGGAAAAGGAAAACAAGACAGTTTGGTGACCAGAGAGCTTTGTTTCTGCTACAGGAGTGGAGAGTAAGAAAAAGAAGTGTGTCAATAAAATAAATTTCTTTATGAAGTTAAAGATAGCTTTGGTTTTGGAATTGAGCCTTGTATTTCTTTCAAGTGAATTCCCTTTCTCCTTTCCAAAGATCTTTAAGAAAACTTTTACTTCCTTTTCAAACCATGTGACTTAAAGAGTCTTAAGAATTCTGACACCATTTATAAATGCCTGGGTTATTTGAGCAAAAGCATTTTCTACGTAAAATATATGAGCTTATGTAAATTATTTGTGGTTTTTCATATCTTTGAACACAACCAGACACGGCCCAGGAAACAGCAACATAATGAAATAGGCTGAGAAAGGAAGGTGCCTAGAAGGAGACCTACCCTCTGTGGAGCAAAAGGTTCTGGGAAGGTAGGCAAAGGCTAGGAGGCAAAATGTGATAGCCTACATATGGGATAATAGACAAAATAACAGATGCCACCCGGGTAAGCATGCACCACTTAGTGGTCAAGTAGAGTATATATTGACAAGCTGGTCCAGCAAAGACTCCACAAGGAGCCCAAATTCAAAATGTAGGCAAATGGCACAAAGGTAAACAATCAAGTGAACAACCTCACCCACAAGACCACTCAAAGTTAGGTCTCCAGTATTAATGCAAGGCAAGGTGCCAGTGCTAGAAAGACCTTTGAAGTAGGGACAAAAGCAAATGGGTTTGGATTAGAAAACCAGAGTATCAGCACAGGACATAAAGTAAAAGTTTTCAACAATGACCACACAATGGAATCAGCTTGGATAATTATTGGAGGACAACCCTACAACAAATTAAATCACCTAGGAGGGGCTTCCAGTCATAAGTGATTTTTCAAACTCCCTAGGTGTTTCTAATATTTAATCAAGGCTGATAACCTATAAGCAGATGAGCAATTATACATCTTTTTTTTTTTTTTTTTTTTTTTTTTTTGTGAGACAGAGTCTCGCTCTGTCGCCCAGGCTGGAGTGCAGTGGCGCGATCTCGGCTCACTGCAAGCTCCGCCTCCCTGCAAGCTCCGCCTCCCGGGTTCACACCATTCTCCTGCCTCAGCCTCCTGAGTAGCTGGGACTACAGGCGTCTGCCACCGCACCTGGCTAATTTTTTGTATTTTTAGTAGAGACGGGGTTTCACCGTGGTCTGGATCTCCTGACCTCGTGATCCGCCCACCTCGGCCTCCCAAAGTGCTGGGATTACAGGCGTGAGCCAGCGTGCCCGGCCGAGCAACGGTGTATCTCTGATATTTATAACTGAAGTTGGGACTGGCCTAGAGACTGGAGGTCTGGAGATCCACAGGAGAATTTTTAAGTCTTTAGCTACTAGTAATCCTTACTTGGCTGTGCAAATGTATGCACGTGATGCATGTGTAAAATATACAATGTTGACAGAAATTGACATGTTATTTGTCAGCTGTTCTGTGATCCGATAATACCTACTGAGTCGTTGCAGTGGGGAAAATACAATAGGAAGTCACAATGGTTTCTTGCTATTTTGATTTCAGTTTTAAAATATCGAAACCATTTCAAGATATTTCTAAAATCTTGTTATTCAAAAGTAAGGCTAAACAGCCGAGAATTTGCTGGTCATTAAGACTTTCAATGTAAAGTAATAGGGAAGCCTTGGATTATAAAGCTTTGGCAGTGCCGATTTCTCAATCATGAAATCCAGGTGGAATCCCTGCTGCAGTCACAGTTTCTGTTCTCCATTATACTTGAGCCATCAGTCTCATTCCTGGAGCAGTCCAGTAACACACAGTGAAATAACATTACCATTGTTAGTGTTTCTATCTCCCCTTTTCCCCCTACTAATAACAGTAATGTAAACACAATTGCCATGGAAACCATAGCACCATACAAAAAACACTGTTGAGTTTCTGAGGACTGTACATGTGTGACTGTAAATAAAAACAGTGAAAATTTTACAAGTGTGGCCTAAGGAAATGAAATGACCACTGGGTTCTTCCCTGACTTAAGAGTGTCATATAACTTGCTTTTACCAGCATGCTGAAAGAAATTAATCCTTGTACAAAAATAAAGACTTATTCGATCCATGACAAATTATCAATGGTAGCCTTATAGTAATCATCATTTAAGCCTTGACATAAATGATGGTTAAGATTTCTAAGTAATTCCTTCTTCATTCCCTTGTTCATTTATTCCTTCAACAAGTATTCGTTGACCATCACTGCGTGTTAGACATATACTAGATTCTTGACATGCAAATATGAAAAGACAACAGTGTCTTGGTATAGAACATGTTCCACCAAATCAACAAATGCATAAGAGACTTATTTGTATATGTACATTTGAGTCCTACTTTTAAAAAATTGATATGTGGATATCTAAACTTATAAAAGATAAATGAGGAAATGATGTTGCTGGTTTCCAAAAAAACTGTCATGAAATAATTCATGAAAGAACCTCTGGGTTATTTCAAATCGTGAATGCTCTTAGTGCATTTAAGAATTATTGATGATTACTTGATTAAGGGATTAGAGGGAGTCTAAAGCAATGGTTCCCAACTCTGCTTGCACATTCACATTACTTATGGAACCTTTAAAACATACTAATATCCGGGCCCTGTTTTAAACCAGTTGACTTACAATCTCTGAAAGTAGGAATTGGGCATTAGTATTTATGGTTTTTTTTTTTTTGAGACAGGATCTCACTCTCTCACCCTGGCTGGAGGGCAGTGGTGTGATCATAGCTCACTGCAGCCTCGGCCTCCCAGGCTCAAGCAATCCTCCTACCTCAGCCTCTGGGGTAGCTGGGAATACAGGCATGTGCAACAATGCTCGGCTAATTTTTATTTATTTATTTATTTTTTGTAGAGACGAAGGTCTCACTATGTTGCCCGGGCTGGTCTTGAACTCCTGGGCTCAAGTGATCATCCTGCCTTGGCCTCCCAAAGTGCTGGGATTACAGGTGTGAGCCCCTGTGTCCCGGGTGGCATTAGTATTTTTAAAGATTTCCAGGATTAATCTAAATGTGAATCCAGGGTTGAGAATCACTGCACTAGAGTGAGGGTTGGCAAACTATGGCCCATGGTCCCAATCTGACCTCCCAATTGTTTTTGTAAATATAGTACTATTGGAACACGGTCATGCCCATACATATTGTTTATGATGGCTTTCACACAACAATGGCAGAATTGAGTAGTTGGGACAAATACAGGATTGACTAGTGGTGGCTAAGTTGAGTGATGTGACAAAGACCATATGGCCTACAGAGCTAAAATATTTACTATCTGGCCCTTTACAAAAAAAAAAAAAAGTACCAACCCCTGGTTTGAAGAAAGGAGAAACACTGAAAACTTAAAATGTTCAGCAATTATCTACAGCTTTTTTCAGAAATATAAAGGCACTCTTGAAATTATTCTTACAGTTGATTAAAAAAAACTTTTATTCTATTTAATAAAATTTTATTTACATGCAACTTTGCAGAATCATGCTCTTATGTGGTGCGCCAGTTGTTAAGCCCTTGACTCTCTGCTTCAAACCCACTCTGACCATAGTCAGCTTTGTGATATTGGGGCTGGAAGTCTGCAAACCACATTTCTGCTTGGCCAGCTGGTCTTCATTAGACTCTGCCAATAGGGGGATGTTAGAAAAACATTGGAAGCCTGGAGGAGGACCCAATTTGCTTCTTCCTATTTGCTGCTTTGCCCTAGCAGTGGTAATTCATTCCGGCAGCAATTGAGTCCAGTTTGCAGTCTTGCTGACACTCTCAGAACCAGCCTCATAGCATACCCTCAGAGATGTCATCTCTCACTGGCCAAGTCCTTTTCTTAGAGGTCTAAGTCCCAGCTCCATGGGTTTCTTCTTTGAGTTTAGAGACAACAGCACAAGCCAAATATTGCCGCCCCCCAGAGAGGCCCCTTCCTTTAAGCTTCTACATTTTAATGTCAATTTTTTTTTTCCTCCGTTCCGAGCTGTAAAGATGACAGTGCTTCCTGCAGTTGCTACCTCCATGATATCTTAATGTTTCCATTTTTTCCTATTTAGCTTTCTAATGCCTATGAATATTATTTATATTAAATTATCTCTGTTAATATTACTGGTGTGGTTTCTATCTCCTGTGTGAGAAAGTTATTGGGCTTAGGAATAATAAATTATCATGGAACCCTATATTCCATAAAGATCGATAGATTCAAACTGTTGTGTGGGAAATGGAATGCTAAATTTGAAGACATTGCCCTCTCCCTCTCCCTCTCTTTCCATGGTCTCCCTCTGATGCCGAGCCGAAGCTGGACTGTACTGCTGCCATCTCGGCTCACTGCAACCTCCCTGCCTGATTCTCCTGCCTCAGCCTGCCGGGTGCCTGCGATTGCAGGCGCGCGCCGCCACGCCTGACTGGTTTTCGTATTTTTTTGGTGGAGACGGGGTTTCGTTGTGTTGGCCGGGCTGGTCTCCAGCTCCTAACCGCGAGTGATCTGCCAGCCTCGGCCTCTGGAGGTGCCGGGATTGCAGACGGAGTCTCGTTCACTCAGTGCTCAATGGTGCCCAGGCTGGAGTGCAGTGGCGTGATCTCGGCTCGCTACAACCTCCACCTCCCAGCAGCCTGCCTTGGCCTCCCAAAGTGCCGAGATTGCAGCCTCTGCCCGGCTGCCACCCCGTCTGGGAAGTGAGGAGCGTCTCTGCCTGGCCGCCCATCGTCTGGGATGTGAGGAGCCCCTCTGCCTGGCTGCCCAGTCTGGGAAGTGAGGAGCGCCTCTTCCCGGCCGCCATCACATCTAGGAAGTGAGGAGCGTCTCTGCCCGGCCGCCCATCGTCTGAGAGGTGGGGAGCGCCTCTGCCCCGCCGCCCCGTCTGGGATGTGAGGAGCACCTCTGCCCGGCAGCACCCCGTCTGAGAAGTGAGGAGCCCCTCCACCCGGCAGCTGCCCCGTCTGAGAAGTGAGGAGCCCCTCTGCCCGGCAGCCACCCCGTCTGGGAAGTGAGGAGCATCTCCGCCCGGCAGCCGCCCCGTCCGGGAGGGAGGTGGGGGGCGCCTCCGCCCGGCCACCCCTTCTGGGAAGTGAGGAGCTCCTCTGCCCGGCCACCACCCCGTCTGGGAGGTGTACCCAACAGCTCATTGAGAAAGGGCCATGATGACGATGGTGGTTTTGTCGAATAGAAAAGGGGGAAATGTGGGGAAAAGAAAGAGAGATCAGATTGTTACTGTGTCTGTGTAGAAAGAAGTAGACATAGGAGACTCCATTTTGTTCTGTACTAAGAAAAATTCTTCTGCCTTGGGATCCTGTTGATCTATGACCTTACCCCCAACCCTGTGATCTCTGAAACATGTGCTGTGTCCACTCAGGGTTAAATGGATTAAGGGCGATACAAGATGTGCTTTGTTAAACAGATGCTTGAAGGCAGCATGCTCGTTAAGAGTCATCACCACTCCCTAATCTCAAGTACCCAGGGACACAAACACTGCGGAAGGCCGCAGGGTCCTCTGCCTAGGAAAACCAGAGACCTTTGTTCACTTGTTTATCTGCTGACCTTCCCTCCACTATTGTCCTATGATCCTGCCAAATCCCCCTCTGTGAGAAACACCCAAGAATGATCAATTAAAAAAAAAAATAAAATAAATAAAATAAAATAAAAAAGATTGAAGAAACTCTGAAAACTCCAACCAAAATAAATGCAAAGAGAACCAAAGTAGGCATTTACAGTCAAAGTGTGGAAAATCAAAGATAAAGAGAAAATCTTGAAAGCAGGCAGAGGAAAACTAGAGACTGATAAGGGAACAATAATTTGAATTTCTGTACACATCTCATCAGAAAGCAGGGAAGCCATAGAGGTGGAACAAAATCTTTAAAGTTCTGAAGGGAAGAAAAAAATCTGTCAACCTAGAATTTTTTATCCAGTGAAAATATTATTTAAGTCTTTTGAAAGAAAATTTAAAAAAAAAATTTGAAGACATTATGCTCAGCCTAATATAATCTACCTATTCATTAATAATGCCTTATTTATGCACTATATAAAAGAATGGACTTTGTCACTGTGCCTAATATGGATTGTGATTTCTGAGGAAATGCCTTGTTTATTCTTGTTGAGAATTAATGAATAAAAATTCATTGCATGTTTCCAATAGTAAATGCTGCAAAAATACAATTTGGAGCATCCCACTCAAGCCTGGTCATCTCCAAAAGATGAGGGTCAGACAACACATGGGTAAATCAGACAACTTCTACTAACTTACTGAACCCAAAATGTAACAGGTCATTTCATAAATAAATAAACTAAAAACTGGAGTTTGTTATTATGGAGTTAGAACCAAGAAAAAGGACAAATGAACTAGAGACAATTATGTCTCTATCTATAGCTTCTATTTGGTTAACGATTTGCTCTCTAACATTCATCTTTTCAGCTGATTTATATGAACTAGTGTGCTTTCATTTCTTAGTCAATGCTTCTTTTAGAATATGACTTTCTTACCACCATCGAGCACACAGGAAAAAGGACAATTAAACACTGGATTTGTAGAATAGAGAAGGAATTAGCAAATGACAGTCAATGGACCAAATCTGACTTGCCATCTGTTTTTGTAAATAAAATTTTATTGGCACACAGCCATGCCCATTTGTTTAGGTATTGTCTATGGCTGCTTTCAGACAACAGCAGAATTGAGTATTTGAAGCATAGACTGCACGGCCCACAAAGCTGGAAATACTGACTTTTTGGCCCTTTACAAAAGTCTACTGACCCCTGACATAGGAAGAGCAGGTGACTGTCATTACAGTGTGGTGTGGTGCCATTTATTATGATGTTAGTCACAGAGCCTGGGGGAAGCTATGATTCTCAAGCTTTCCCATGGCAACTAACTACATGCTCAAGTTAGAACACCCTGCCAGTTCTTCTGCACCTATCAGTTCCTTATTCAGCATCTAAGATCCTGTATACATCGCCTCTGTGTCATTCAAACTCTCCTTACTAACTGTGGTAGAAATCATGTCTCTCTCTTCTACTGCCAGTTTGTTTCCAAGTGTATCTTAGGCTCTTTTAGAAGTAGAGAGGCGTATTATTTGTCCATCCCTTGACTGCACTTGACAAGGACCTTGCACAGAGAAGCTAATTAGTAATTATAATTTTATTCCTCAACACTATCCAGAGGAACTCATAAGAGCTGTCCCAGGCACCAATGCATTTGTTTAGTAGAGAGCACTTGAGTTTTCATTGCCTGCTATTGTGTGTCTTATTTGTTAGAAACTGCCTTCAAGCTATTGTTTCCAAAATAGACATGGTAATTATTAGACAAAAGATTGAACTATATAAAATGAATACCAAAGAAGGAGACTATTTATCTTTGTAACCCTCATATTTTTACATAACACCCAGTTATATTAAGCATAAAGGTATGTATGCTGAAATAAATAAACTAGATTGATAGATGATAGATAGATAGCCAGGTTAAAGGTCCTAAAACAGCCTGAGGACTGTTTCACTACTCCCAGATAATTTCTATTTTATTAATAATTTTATTCTTAATAACACAATATAAACTATCTTAAGTGCTACCATTTCAAATAGCATTAATGCTGAGAGTTAAAACCAAGCACAACATACAAAATGTATTTAGTAAAACCTCATCTTCTCAAAGATTAAGGAAAATAAGCAATGCAGGACAGAAAAAGGGAAAAATACAATTTATGCAATTTTTCAAGCAGAGAGAGTCTTGAAATTCCAAGCAATAATGCCACTAAATGATAAAGATGAGGGATTCTTTAAATTATTAATTCAATTGGCTGGAGCAGCAGCCCTTGATATGCCATGCCACTCCACTGAGGCTTCATTTTTGTCTCTTATTTTTCCCCTTCTGTAACTGCTAAGATTTGTTTTCTTCAAAATCTTATCAAATATCTCTTGGGTCAAAGAGGTTCAAGGCCTAAGGCTCCTGTGAAGACAAATATAGGCAGGAGTCTCTATGATTCTTTTACTTACAGCCTCAACTAAATACTAAAGTGACAGAAAAATAAGGCAATGAGAGCTGAACGTATTGATAGTAATTTTTAAAATAAGATGTTTTTTGTCTTAAAAGTAATTTCATCATGTCTGTTTAAGTAGTAGCCAGTTTGTAATAAGATTTCAGTAAGTATGTAGCCTACAAATTAAATAATATTCAAATAGCTGTGTGTGTGTATATATATATACACACACACACACATATATATACACACACATATATATACGTGTGTGTGTGTGTGTATATATATATATATATATATATATACTTAGATAAATAACACTCCAATTTCTAGGGCCAAGCTTTCTGTCAACAGAGTATTTGGTATCCTATATATACCATAACATAAAGAATTCCAAGGTAACCCAAAAATTTCTCTACAAATGCCTAAAATTCTAAGACTGATGATTCAGTCCTTTTTGATAATACAAGGTCCATCAGTATGCCACTTCGATGACTTCAGGGACCATACAATGCCTTGTTCACCATTATATTCACAGTCATTGGCACAGTGCCTGGCATAAAGGGACTCAACTATTTGCTGTATAAATTAATGGAAAGCATTGCCTTCTACATGCAAATTTTGGGGGACATCAACTCATGAGCTTCTTAGCCCTTCAGAATGAGTGAGTCTTTCAGATTACTTTTATCCCTAAAGGACCTATCTGGTTATTACTAAAAACCAAGAAAGGAAAGGGGTATAGAGCTGCTGAGGACACCTATACACCTGGTCTTCTTGCTATTAATGGAAATTATATCATCATCTTCTCTGAGAGATTTTTCAGAATAAGTATAGGTGAACAGACCTTTAAAAAATGAAGTAGCCCAAGTGGGGCGAGTGACATCTTTCACTGGTGATAGCCCCAAAGACAAGGGAAGATAGCAAGCTGCTGAGATCCCCATGAATGGTGACCAGCACTTGAAACGAGAAACTCCAAATAGCCACTTCTAACCTCCTATCCCAGTGAACTAAAACAAAACAAGGCCAGGAAGGGAGGGTGTAATTCCAAAGTTCTGTACAAATTTTGCTTGCCATTAGAGAGCTACCCATTTTTACAATCAAAAAGGGTTGCTTCAAAGGCTGGCTTTGTGATCCAAAATGGTCTTCAATCTTGGGGACAAAGGAAATGCTTCTGATAAGTTAATCTGGTTAAACTGCACGCACTATTCATCACAAATTGGATACAAAAGAGAAGCATAGCTGTGTCATTTTGCCTTTGGAAGCTCTGGCTTCAGCATAGAAAGTTTGCATGAGTTCTCAGCTTCTGCTCTCAACCTTGGCTCCACATTGGAATCATGTGAATCACACCTCCAGAGATTCTGGTTTCATTGGTCTGGAGTGTGGCCTAAGCATCACAATTTTTGAAATTTCCCCAGATGACTCTATTGTGCAGCCAAACAGGGGGATCAACTGTCCCAGTTTGCCCAGGACTGAGAGGGGTCCTGGAACTAAGGTGGTTCCTGAAGTGTGCAACTTCTAGTGCTAGAAGCAGGAAAGTCCTAGGCAGACCAGGAAAAGTTCGTCACCCTAACTGCTGCTCTCAGGGGTGTGTGTTTGATGTGAAGATCTGGGAAGAGGAGCAGTGCATGCATTTTAGCAATGACAACGTTGGCTCCAGAACCAATTACCTACTACAGAAGCACAGAAGGCATCTAAAATAGATTTGTATCAGATGGCATATTCTGAATTTTATCATGTACAATTTCTTGGAAGTGCCCATACATTTCATATTTTCTTCTTCCTCTGACTTTTTCAAGTATGATCTTGTTCCTGAGTGTGTGCTGTCTTCTCTTAACTAGAAAATGAAATCTGCCATCACAACTGGACTGACTTCCATTAGCCCGTGCTCTGGGAAATTGAGCCCCTTCTTTTCCATTGGGTCAATGGTAATTGATAGTTGCCAATATTTCAGTCGGGGAAATTCTAGCATATCACTCCTTCAGGAGTCTGTCTAATCCAGATTTTGACAAACATCAATTGCAATTAGATAACAATAGTGACCTTTCACCCAGATCATTCTCTTTGAGAAAGTCACCAAGTAAGGGGTGTATGGTCTTTCTCTCTGGGAGCCTTCTAAGAAAGACTGACAGAGAAGTGCCAGTAAAGAAAACCCAAATCTTACGACAAAAAATTCTCTTTTTTATTATAAATAATGATTCTTTCAAAAGACATACAAAAGCAAGGGCTTGATTCCAACTCAACCCCAATATGTTGAAACTGGGAGCTACAGAAGGTTGCAAACAGAAGGAAGTATCAGGCAAGGCCAGACCTCTTCTGATCATTTGCTGAGAGAGGAGCTTTACTGACAAACAGGACCATCCCCCAGCTGCAAACTGTAGACACATTCAGAGGAGGTCTCCATTGCATGCACCAATCCTTTATTGTCACTCAAACAACTTTGCTTTTATACTTGAGAGGTGAGAAAAATAAGCCCTCATAGTGTTATGAGGTTGCTCTTTTCCAAACCAGAATCTTTATTTCTGTGAGTGTTCTTTCTAGAACTCATTTTGTGATCTGTTCATCTTGGTGTCTTTCCTGTGAGCCTTCATATGGGCTTTTAGGCTGGGAAGACTGGCCCTAAAATAGCAAAATGAGACAAGAGAGTTGGCCCTGCCTTTTGTGAGATTAAGCACATCTTCCGGAATGAACAGTGCTGAGGTTGTGGCGAGGGTTAGCTGCCATGTCCTATGTGCTATTTCTGGCTGATGATGCTGCAGCTTTATAGATAGATAGATAGACACTCAATTTATGTTTTTCAGCTCATCTACAACACTATTTCATTTTATATAAAACTGCCAGAGTGTGTCTAAAGTTACTTACTGAGCATGTTGAACCTGAGTTAGCTTCCTGGGCTTCTCATACCACACGTCACAGAGTCACATCACTTTGCATAGCAATCAAAGAAAGGGACAACTTCCCACCGTGTAAGTTATTTCACGGCCTATAGTATGCCAAGGTGACTTTTAAATTGATTTTGCTAACACATAAATATTGTTTTATTTTTAAGTTCAAAGGTTTTTATATTGGTTTACCTTCAGGTCTGTAGCTTCAGAAAATGGGTGGCAGGGAATAGGAAAAGTGAGGGGTCTTTAAGCTGTGGCCACTGTCTGTGCAGGGTGAATTCTGTCATACCTGGGCATAGAGAATTTTCCAGATCATGAATCAGAGCAAGGGGCTGGTGTAAGCTGGGCTCCTGGGGAGACAAGCAGCATCGGCCTGGCAGCCTGTCAGTACCACTGAGCATCACCGCCTGTGCTAATGTGGAAGAGCCCCCAGGACAGAAGGAGGACGAGAAAAATAAAAAGGAAGAAGCGCAAACAAGTGGAGGAAAGAATTTAATTAAAATAGAGTAACTGAAGACATAAATTCCATTGCATTAAGGATATTTTTAGAAGCACCATGCTAGCATTTTATTCCTAAAAACATCCAGTGCTCTCACCAATATATTACAAATCTCTAGGTACCTTCTCAAAATTGGACATTGGCCAATCCTCTCCTGCTCTTGTTTATAATAGGAACAGGATGTACTGTGTCTGCTGTTTGAAATCTCGATTCTTTTTCATCCTTTCCATAAAGCCCAGGTCGGGATTTATGATGTCTCCAGTGCTGTTTAGGTAGGCTTCTATTTTGTTACTTTTTCCCCCATTTATTCTTACTTTTATTTCTGGGCAACCAAAAACCAAGAAATCAGCCCACTAACACAATGAAAAAAATATATGTATGTTGACTGGGAAGAATCCAAATCTGATTTTACTAGTTCTTCACAGAGAACATTTTATGAAGGAATAGAAGCTGTAATTAAGTGTTCTTCCCACTTATACTAGTTTAATTAAAAAGTCTAAAGTTATTGATTTTTTAAAAAACCATTAAAAGGCACCCTTGCTGCTGGTTCCAGGCTGTTGCTGGCAGACCATTTGCTCATGGAGTATAATTTTCCATTTCCTCTAGTACAATGAAACCCTTTATTAAATGCTTTCTCACTATGGACAGATTGGTTTATAGTTGTAAGAAGCAGGGATTTATAATCCTTGCTGCTATTTGCTTGCCCTTCAATTCAGACTCTGCCAACACCACACAGATTTATCTCCTTAGCTTTGAAAGGACTTTGGCTTTGGGGTGGTTTTATTTCACAGACTGAAGTAGACTCAAAAAAGATTGTGCCAATCCAGTGGAATTTGGAAGGACTAACTAACCTCAGTTTGCTCAAGATCATACATAAGTCAAGCCAGATGAGAATGGGATAAATATTACCATTAGGCTGCTTGAGTGTCCTTACAACATGGCAGTTGGCTTTCTCCACAGTGAGTGATCCAAGAAAGAAGTCAAGGAGAAAGGTTCAATGCCATTTACGATCTAATCTCAGAAAGCATGCACCATCATTTCTATCATCTACTCTTTGTAAGAAGTGAGTCACTAGGTCAGCCCATACTCATGGAGATGGGAAGTAAGCCTCATCTCTTAAAGAGAGGATTTGAAAGAATTTGTGGAAATTTTTTGAAACCACCACACACTTGCTATACTGGACTTCCAAAATTCATTGGATTATGAAGTTTTCTCTTCTATTGAACCCAGACAGAAGAGTTTGCCTTGAAGGACAGAGATGAGTTCCTAAAACAAAATAGGTGAGTTAACTAAAAATGTAAATTTGGAGCAGTGAGAAGACTAAACTGACTGGGAAGATGGAGAATTAGAAAGTTCAGCTAAGTATTCTGGGTATTCTACAGAATGTAAGAGACAAGTTTGGCTACTCATATTGAGAGAGACAGGAATGATACTGAGACCTTGAGAGGTTGGAATAACATCTGCAAAAGCAAGAAAAGAGATTTAAATAAAAGAACAGTAGAGCCACAGCAAGGGCCAAGCAGAAGCCACATCAAATGGATTTAGTACAATTCCAATCAACATTATTTCATGACTTTCTCTACTCCAAAGACCACTGCACATGAATGGAGAAAGAAAATAAAAATGGTAACCCAGGGGCTTGAATTGACCCAACAAAGTCCACATAAGTTCAAGGAGAAAAGAAATTCTAAAGCTCAAGAAGGAAGCATCGAATGGGTGCACCCAGATTAAAAATAAGTAAAAAGACAAGTTGGTTCCAAATCTGTCATGAAGAATAAAGAAGGGAAAGAAATCAAATGCTAGCATGAATGTGGGGAATAAGTGAGAGAAATTTAGAGATACGGCTGATAAAGATACTGGGGTCTCAGAAGACAAGGTGTGGGTTCAAGGTCATGAATATGGGGCTTTTCTGATTGACGATGAAATCCATAATGGGAATACACTTGAGAATGGCTGTAATGGAAGGAAAGTGAAAGAGATGAAGCAGTAGCTTGCAAATTTTCTTGGGTCCTCATATATTCATCTATTCTCTATGTACTTCAAGTGCAGGAACTCTGTCTCTTCATCTGTGAGCCCTCAACTCAAAGCCCTATACCTAGAACATAGTGGGACAGTCAGAGTATGTGAAACGTGAATGGATCAGAGGCTGCAGGGATAAACAAGTAACAATGCAGGGATTAAAGTTGCCCAGCATGTTGACAGGAGAGTGGTGAAGGCAAACACAGGGCCCTGTGCAAAAGTGACTGATGAAGTACATCTAGCCCTATACAAGTTGTAAAATCTTCATTTGGAGAGCCATTTTGAAAAGCTCAGAGTCGGGCCGGGCATGGTGGCTCACACCTGTAATACCAGAACTTTAGGAGGCTGAGGCGGGCGGATCACCTGACGTCGGGAGTTCGACACCAGCCTGACCAACATGGAAAAAACCCATCTCTACTAAAAATACGAAATTAGCCAGGCGTGGTGGTGCATGCCTGTAATCCCAGCCACCTGGAGGCTGAGGCAGGAGAATCGCTTGAACCCAGGAGGCAGAGGTTGCAGTAAGCCGAGATCATGCTATTGCACTCCAGCCTGGGCAACAAGAGTGAAACTCTGTCTAAAAAACAAAAAAAAAAAGGAAAGAGAATGAAAGAAAGAAAGAAAGAAAGAAAGAAAGAAAGAAAGAAAGAAAGAAAGAAAGAAAAGCTCAGAGTCATTTTCATATCAATACCTTCTGAATGCTGGTGTCTTGACTTAATCAAATGGATTCTGCATGCAACTCCTAGCCCAGTTCCCCATACCTTACCTGTCTTAATTTCTATTCTTCTTCCCATGAAAACCTATATGACTTATGGTGACCCTATAGCCTGAAGAACTATAACGGTCTCTTGGCTGCCGCAAGCCCTGCCCTAGGCCAGCAACTCTTCCATCCTGGGAACACTGACCAAACAAAAATAAGTTGAATCAGAGAAAGGTTCAGGCTTAATAGCAGAGACCTGGAATAAACACTGATGAGCAAACCATAAATTGGGGGATCACACACAGCACATATCAAGTCTCATACTCCAGTATTACTTCCCATAAGTGAAACTTCATGCCATTAGGAAATCAACAAGCACTTCTCAGACTTTAATATATATACAAATTATGTAAATACCCAACCCTCAGAATCCAATTCAGTGGGATGTGGAAGAGCCTGGTCATCTGCATTTTTAACAAGCACCCTTAGTGATTGTCATGCAGGTGGTTTCAGATATTTTGAGAAATGCCACCCTAAGCTTTTTGCCAATGGATTTTAGTATTGAAGAGACTTAGGGACAGCAGCCTGGCCCAGGAGGGACTTGTTATAAAGCTCAGTTAGCATAGCAAGAACCCTGGAATTTTTCCTGGGACAGTATGTTTTTTAGAGGGTACTTGGTGTGATGAGATTGAGGAAGCAGATGCAGAACCCCAGCCACACTGCAGGGTATCTCTGTGCATGAGTTTACTCGTATGCTGTAACCTACCCCACTTCTTATAGCTAATGATGCCTCTGAGGGGCACTCTGTGGAGGGGCCTGGGGAATTCTCTTTGTTGATGATACAGGGCAGGCGAAGAGAAGCTTTATCGTATCAGGACATAGTCATACCCCAGAAAAGCAGCTCCTGGCATGTGTAAAGTGTGTTTTGTATGAGATAAAATGAACCATATAAATGCAAAGTAATATTAACTGAGAGCATCTTATTGTGAACACCAAGTGAAGATTATACAAACTGTTACTGACACAAAATGCTGCATAAAAAGCAGAAATCTTTAGCTCTTTCCCAAGGAATGTGCTCTACTATTCTCTGGGCTCCGGCAGTGCAGGAGGACAGAAAGTGCCTCTGGGCACATTTGCCAGCTATTAAGAATCCATACCAGGGCCCTGTCCAGTGCTTACATTTCTCTTTCCCAAGAAGCTCATAAAGCACCTTAGCTGACCCTTCTCCATCATCTCCTAAAAAGACAAAAACGCTGTCACTAGCTTAGCCATTAGCAGGAACACAATCAATTTTTTGATGTTCTTTAGAGCTGCTTTGTATGTGTCATGAGAGGAATTAGCATCCACGTCACGTGTGAACCTCATTCTCCTTCAATCTGTTTCACTATGAGCAAACCCCTCCAGGTCCCCATATCCATTCACAAAGTCACAAAGTTTCCAGCGTCCTTGAAATTTGCCCAATTCTTCTGCAACCAAAACCTTGAAGACACCAGCAGGCATTTTCTTGACAGGAGCTATATTTCTTTGTGCACACAAAGGAAGGAAAAGAGGGAAGCCCTCCTCTGGGGAGAAGGTCTTAAAATATAATCAAATCTGCTCCTAGTCTCAGACACAAAAGATCAGAACTAGCCATAGTGATCTGCAATAGCCTCCTCTGTCTAAGAGGCAGGCAGTAATTGATTTGATCTGCTTTATGGGGACAATCTCCCAGGCATGACTGAATGCTAATTGCTACTAATGAGGTTGCATTTTAAACTGGCTGTGGTCTTGAGCTTTCTGTCCCCTTTCCTCCAAGCAGCATTCCTGCCACTGGATTGCAAGTAAAGCTTCTAGCGAGCCCTTACCCATAACGAGCTCCACATCCCCAGCTGCTGAGAGTTGTGTTAAGTAGGGCAAATTCCATTGCCTTTCAAAAGGGTGATCGGCCGAATGAGCAGCGTCTAAAGATGTACCGAGGCAATGTAGCATTTGAGGTAATGAACTCTAAATGTTACAGGATCGCTGGGAATTACTTTCATAATGACTTTTACTGGTTCAGGCCATTTCCCAACATCCATCTCTCTTACCCAGAGGAAAACCCGCAAACCCCAATCCATGAAAGAATGTTTTCTTGCTAACAGTTTATTTGGCGGCTCTTAAGTTTTGCGTCAGTGCCCTTAAGTCTCAAAATTAACACATGGTACCACTCTTTAAATTATGATCATTGTCAAAATTAATTTTAACTCTAGAAAAGCAAAAATACAAACCCCTTGACAGGCTGCAGAATAAAAGATACCTTGGATAATACAACCCCCTAGAGCAGGGGTCATCAAACTTTTCTGTAAATAACCAGGTAGCAAATAGTTTAGTCTTTATGGGGCATATGGTTTCTGTCACTATTCAACTCTGTTGCCATAGTGTGAAAGCAGCCATAGACAAAATGTACGGGTATGGCCCATGTTCCAGTAAAACTTCACTTACAAAAACATGTGTCCAGTTGGATCTGGTTTGTGGGCCATCATTTGTCAACCCCTAACCTTGAGTAGGCTTTCCAAATATACATCAAATATGGATCTATACAAAATTATCATAACTACAAAATGGCCCAAGAGGTCTAAAAGCTACTAATTAGTAGCTACTGATTTTAATTGGTATATTTAAGGTACCATGAAAACTACATTTTGCATTTAGAAGCCTCAGTTTCCTCAATTGTGAAATAAGGGGCTGGACTCTACTACTCCTAGATTCTTTTCCAGGTCTAACATGTATAACTTCTCAAAATTCTATGATGTCAAAGTTCTGACCATATATGTTAACTTTAAAAATTTTTTCAGAATTGACCACACAGATGCTTTACATTCCTCAGTTCTAAATTTTTTTAATTAAACACCATTAACACTCAAAACATCTTCTAAGAGCCAAGACCACTATGAATAAATGCAAATATGAGTAAGATCATGGCCTCTACTGCCAAAGTTTTCACAAAGCATCCCCAACTTCCAACTATTCACTCCTACATAACCCTTGCCAACATGCACATTCTTGTCTTCCAGATTCTCTCTTCCGTGAAGCCCTTCCAAGACTAATTCCATTTCTATGCTATATTTTTCAACTGCCCCACCTTCTTCTCTATGTAATGACTCAGCACATTTATTGTATATTTCTATACAACTAGAGTTGTTCTTGAATGTGTTGTTTTTGTATCTTGTGCTTTTGGCAAAACAATTTAAACAGTGCTTCTAAATTTCTGTGAATGTGGACATGCTATATGCACAACCTAGTTGTAAACAAAAAAACTAAAGTATAATTTAGATGCAGTTATTTTATGTTTGATGTTCACGTAAACAAGAAGAAATAACTGCTTGGAAATGAGTGTCTTGCGTGATGCTCCTATTGAGTATAGTAAAGGAAACATGTGATGTCATTAAGATTGTGTGCTTTGGGTTACTTTTAATTTCTGGTTTAATTTTACTGTTTTTGCTATCCACACTGATAAATTCCTGGGATTAAGGTACAGTAAGTTTGTTTGGGAATCATAGGCCTTTTGCTATTATTGTTAGCACAAGTTGCTCCACAGTTTATCTTCCTTGTGTTAGGCAAGGATATCTCCCTGTTGTGAAAGTTTGGGAGCTTTCTTTAGTACTACTAGTGGTACAAATGAGAAAAAAAGTGTAATGGAAATTATGAAAAAAAGAGAGCTTTTTGAAACATTGAGGATTCAAAATCAAAAAAAGACCCTCGGGAACTAGAAAATGAACAAGAGAGTAAACCCAGGAAAACAGAAACAAAAATAACAAAGATAGCGTAGAAATTCAGAATAGAAAATAAACAATAGAAAGATTCAACAAAACAAAAGCTTAGTTTTATGAAAGAAATTAACAGAACAAAGAAGCCTCTAACAAGACTGAAAAATAGAGACTATACTAATAAATTCTATTATAATCACATAACAAAAAATATAATATTTATAAAAATCAAAGAATTCAATGAATGAATTCATGCCAATAAATATAGATGTAATGGAAATTGTCCAGAAAAATATAATTATTGTATCAGAGCAGAACTGAAGGAAATAGAGACACAAAAAAAACCTTCAAAAAATTAATGAATCCAGGAGATGGTTTTTTGAAAGGATCAACAAAATCGAGAGACCGCTAGCAAGACTAATAAAGAAGGAAAGAGAGAAGAATCAAATAGATGCAATAAAAAATGATAAAGGGGATATCACCACTGATCCCACAGAAATACAAACTACCATCAGAGAATACTACAAACACCTCTACGCAAATAAACTAGAAAATCTAGAAGAAATGGATAAATTCCTCAACACATACAGCCTCCCAAGACTAAACCAGGAAGAAGTTAAATCTCTGAATAGACCAATAACAGGCTCTGAAATTGTGGCAATAATCAATAGCTTACCAACCAAAAAGAGTCCAGGACCAGATGGATTCACAGCCGAATTCTACCAGAGGTACAAGGAGGAACTGGCACCATTCCTTCTGAAACTATTCCCATCAACAGAAAAAGAGGGAATCCTCTCTCACTCATTTTATGAGGCCAGCATCATCCTGATACCAAAGCCGGGCAGAGACACAACAAAAAAAGAGAATTTTAGACCAATATCCTTGATGAACATTGATGCAAAAATCCTCAATAAAATACTGGCAAACCAAATCCAGCAGCACATCAAAAAGCTTATCCACCATGATCAAGTGGGCTTCATCCCTGGGATGCAAGGCTGGTTCAATATACGCAAATCAATAAATGTAATCCAGCATATAAACAGAACCAAAGACAAAAACCACATGATTATCTCAATAGATGCAGAAAAGGCCTTTGACAAAATTCAACAACCCTTCATGCTAAAAACTCAATAAATTAGGTATTGATGGGACGTATCTCAAAATAATAAGAGCTATCTATGACAAACCCACAGCCAATATCATACTGAATGGGCAAAAACTGGAAGCATTCCCTTGGAAAACTGGCACAAGACAGGGATGCCCTCTCTCACCACTCCTATTCAACATAGTGTTGGAAGTTCTGGCCAGGGCAATCAGGCAGGAGAAGGAAATAAAGGGCATTCAATTAGGAAAAGAGGAAGTCAAATTGTCCCTGTTTGCAGATGACATGATTGTACATCTAGAAAACCCCTTCATCTCAGCCCAAAATCTCCTTAAGCTGATAAGCAACTTCAGCAAAGTCTCAGGGTACAAAATCAATGTACAAAAATCACAAGCATTCTTATACACCAATAACAGACAAACAGAGAGCCAAATCATGAGTGAACTCCCATTCACAATTGCTTCAAAGAGAATAAAATACCTAGGAATCCAACTTACAAGGGATGTGAAGGACCTCTTCAAGGAGAACTACAAACCACTGCTCAATGAAATAAAAGAGGATACAAAGAAATGGAAGAACATTCCATGCTCGTGGGTAGGAAGAATGAATATCATGAAAATGGCCATACTGCCCAAGGTAATTGATACATTCAATGCCATCCCCATCAAGCTACCAATGACTTTCTTCACAGAATTGGAAAAAACTACTTTAAAGTTCATACGGCACCAAAAAAGAGTCTGCATTGCCAAGACAATCCTAAGCCAAAAGAACAAAGCTGGAGGCATCACGCTACCTGACTTCAAACTATACTACAAGGCTATAGTAACCAAAACAGCATGGTACTGGTACCAAAACAGAGATATAGATCAATGGAACTGAACGGAGCCCTCAGAAATAATGCCGCATATCTACAACTATCTGATCTTTGACAAACCTGACAAAAACAAGCAATGGGGAAAGGATTCCCTATTTAATAAATGGTGCTGGGAAAACTGGCTAGCCATATGTAGAAAGCTGAAACTGGATCCCTTCCTTACACCTTATACAAAAATTAATTCAAGATGGATTAAAGACTTAAACGTTAGACCTAAAACCATAAAAACTCTAGAAGAAAACCTAGGCATTACCATTCAGGACATAGGCATGGGCAAGGACTTCATGTCTAAAACACCAAAAGCAATGGCAACAAAAGACAAAATTGACAAATGGGATCTAATTAAACTAAAGAGCTTCTGCACAGCAAAAGAAACTACCATCAGAGTGAACAGGCAACCTATAAAATGGGAGAAAATTTTCACAACCTACTCATCTGACAAAGGGCTAATATCCAAAATCTACAAAGAACTCAAACAAATTTACAAGAAAAAAACAAACAACCCCATTAAAAAGTGGGCGAAGGACATGAACAGACACTTCTCAAAAAAAGACATTTATGCAGCCAAAAAACACATGAAAAAATGCTCATCATCACTGGCCATCAGAGAAATGCAAATCAAAACCACAATGAGATACCATCTCACACCAGTTAGCATGGCGATCATTAAAAAGTCAGGAAACAACAGGTACTGGAGAGGATGTGGAGAAATAGGAACACTTTTACACTGTTGGTGGGACTGTAAACTAGTTCAACCATTGTGGAAGTCAGTGTGGCGATTCCTCAGCGATCTAGAACTAGAAATACCATTTGACCCAGCCATCCCATTACTGGGTATATACCCAAAGGACTATAAATCATGCTGCTATAAAGACACATGCACACGGATGTTTATTGCAGCACTATTCACAATAGCAAAGACTTGGAACCAACCCAAATGTCCAACAATGATAGACTGGATTAAGAAATGTGGCACATATACACCATGGAATACTATGCAGCCATAAAAAAGGATGAGTTCATGTCCTTTGTAGGGACATGGATGAAATTGGAAATCATCATTCTCAGTAAACTATCGCAAGAACAAAAAACCAAACACCGCATATTCTCACTCATAGGTGGGAATTGAACAATGAGAACACATGGACACAGGAAGGGGAACATCACACTCTGGGGACTGTTGTGGGGTGGGGGGAGGGGGGAGGGATAGCTTTAGGAGATATACCTAATGCTAAATGATGAGTTAATGAGTGCAGCACACCAGCATGGCACATGTATACATATGTAACTAACCTGCACATTGTGCGCATGTACCCTAAAACTTAAAGTATAATAATATAATAAAAAAAATTCTTCCAAAGATGATTGTCACACTCCTTTATCATCCATGGGCCTGGAACTAGATGAAGGTACAATATAAAAGAATTCTCAGTCCCTGAGTGATCATGGTTACAGAGGTAACCTTCAACCCATTGATACTATTATACCTACCCACATTGGACTGTAACATGCATGAAAAATAAACTTTTATTGTATTAAGCAACTGGGATTGGAAAATTAGTTGGCACAGAAGTTAGTCTACTTTGGCTGCTACATTAAATACAATTGACGCAAGAAGAAATATAAAACCTGGATAAACAATAACCCTTGAAGAAATCAGTTAAGTGTTTAAAAATATCCCTCTTACCTTAATAGATGTTAGGTGAAATGACTGTTATAGGCCAAATTTACAAAATTTTCAAAGAATAGATCCCATTCTATCTATCTATCTATTCATCTATCTATCTATCCATCTATCTATCTATCTATCTATCTATCTATCTATCTATCTATCTATCTATGTATCTATCTATCTGAGAGAGGAGGGGAGAGAGAGAGTGCTTCAGATGCTAGTAAGAAAAGAAAGCTGTCAAACTCATTTTACAAAGTTGATATTAACTTGACATTGAAACCAAAGATAACACAAGAAAAAAAAAGTACAAATGCAGATGCACATAGATTTTTTTAAAGAAGAGTTCTAAATAAAATATCCATATATCAAATCCAACAGTGACATTCAAAATTAATACATCAACTTTAGTAGAGTTTGTTTACACTCGGGAATGCAAGACTAATAAAATGACAGAAAAGTACACTGATCTAATAATCACATAAACAACTTATGTGAGAGAAAACATTTGACTCTCCGGACAGAAACAAAAAGAAAACACTTGAAAAAATTCAACACCCATCCAAGATAAAATTATTAAAAAATTTGAAAAAAGAGAACCTTCACTGACATCAAAAATAATCTTCTAAAAAGCCTATATTAAATAATATTTCATGGTGAAATCTTAATTATCCATTAAATTCAAGAACAAAACTAGTAACTCTGTTCTCACTGTTACTAAGCATTTGATCAGGGTCCTAGCCAATGAAATAATATTAGAAAAGGGGAAAAAAATTAGCTGTGAGAATTAGAAAGGAGGAGATAACTGATTCTAATTTGTAGATGATATGACCATTCTGAAAAATCCAGAATAATCAACAAGCCATTATTAGAACTAATATAGAAATTAAGCAAGATTGCTAGATACAAAAACATCACATCAAAATCAACATATTTGCTACACATTAGCAGTAATCAATTAGAGAATGTATATACATATTTTGTTCAAAAACAAAATGCTGTAAGATGCCTGGGAATAAATTCAGTGATGCATATTCAGGCCCCTTTTGGATAAATTTAGAAAATACCATACAATGGCAAAAAAAAAACCCCTTAAAAATGGACGGGAGATCGATATAATAAAAATGCCAATGCTTTCTAAATCACTCTGTAAAGTGGAACTACGAAGTCTTCACAGTGCTTGGTGCACAGAAGGAAATCAACTGATACTAGCTAGTATTTCTAGATTTCATTGCATATCAACTCTTGACCAGTTATCATTTACAGTTCATCTTGTGGAGGGGAAAATGATTCCTTTGCTATTTCCTTTGTCTGTCTGTCTGTCTGTCTGTCTGTGTGTGTGTGTGTGTGTGTGTGTGTGTGTGTGTCCCATTCCTTGGCTGATTCTACCAGACTCTGCCTCTCTTTGAGTAAAGATTCTATAGCTATTTCATCTTTTATTTTTTTACAGGATCTAATTCAGTGCCTGTAAGTGTTGAACAAATATTTACTGAGTGAACAAAGACTGAATATTGCCCCAAATTATAGATGCTTGAGACACTATTACAATATGCAGTTTCTTTCATTTACATACAAGGCTGTTACTTTGAATTTAAAATATTGAACTTATTTCTGGTTTTATCATAAATACCACTTTGACTTGAAGCACATCACCTATGAGTTACAATTTCTCTAACTTTAATATAAGCGGCTTAAACTAGATAGTTATGGAAGGTATTTTCCAGTTCTAAAGTCTTACAAATAATACAGAGATAGATTTATACTAATTTATGTTCTAGTTTTCAGGCTTTCTTGTGATTATCAATACATACTTCAGGGTAGCTAGGGTAGGAATCAAGGTATACCTTATGACCAAAAACTAAATAAAGCTATTTTAAGACCTGCAAATTGACGATATATGGTAGTCACTAAGGCTGTTCATCATTAGTCTGGCTCTCTCTTCTTCTGGACACATGGTAAGATATAACTACACTACCCACCTGAAGCTAGGTGTGGCCACACAACTAGCTTTGGCCAGTGAAAAATGAGCAGCAATTACATGTGTCACTTTCAGGTGGAAACTTTAAGAGTGAGTGTGTGGTCTGCCATGTTTTCTGTCCCTCTACCGTGATGATACAAAACGTTCCAGATCGAAGTTGGCCCGAGATTGAAGGTAAGGTGAAACAAAATTCCCAGCTCACTCTCAGTCAACATGCAGCGAAAACAGGAAACAAACCTTCGTTGCTTTATGCCTCTGAATTTGGAGAATAATTTTTAACACAGCAAAACTCAGCCCTATATAGGTTAACAAACTATATTAGTGCCATGCTCTGATTTAGCAGTTGTTCACTTACTGTCATAATACACTGGTTATCCTTCTTAACTGTGGATATGTTACAAGTATTTAGTCACTATGAATGATGTAAATTTCCTTTAGAATTGAGACATAATCTGTCTGTTTCACTATTTATCTCCGGAGTTTGTAATAACTTTCCCCTTTGCTATAAATTAGAGAGAATACACAGTTACCCTTGCAATAAAGTTATGGTTGCTTTTTTACATTCCAATCGGTTTTTCTGAGTGAAGAAAAAGTAATGAAGATAAAGCTATTGACCTGAAAATTGGATATAACCTTAAGTTCTTTGATCTAAACAGGTGGAAAAAAAGATTAAAGACAGCTGAGACACTCTGTCCAGATGGTATACAACCCAGCTGTTATACCAGATTCAGTCCTTTGAATGCCAAAATCATGTCTCAGGCCGGATGGATACTTTAAAAATACAAGATTTTAGCTGATGTGGTGTCCATTTTAAATTATCTTTGGGTATCCTATTCACATGAAGGATACATTGTTTCCTGCTCAACTATAACAATGGAAATTGTTAGTATACATATACTCTCCTTTGGGAATGTGAAGGGGAAAGATAAATATTTGAGAGGCTGCTATGAATAAGTACTTTCAAATGTGCTGTATTTCACAAATGTTTTAATTGGTATAAAACATGCATACGGAAAATTGCTTAACTAATGAGAGTATAGCTCAATGAATTTCCACAAACTGAACATGTCTGTGCAATAAGCGCCTAGATCAAGAAACAGAACATGAACAGCCCCCTTGAAATCCTCCCTTGACCTTGTAACCATTTCCAATCCTTTTCATCCCAAGGGTAATCACTATCCTGGTTTCTAATAGAATAGGTTTATTTTGCCTGTTTTAAACGTTTATGTAAATTAATTTAGAAAATATGTACTCCTCTGTGTCTGTTTCTTTACTAAGCTTGTAAGATTCATCCATATTGTTGGACATAGTTGTAGATTGTTCATTCTCATTGCACATAGTATTCCATTGTGTGAAAATACTAAAATGTATTTATCTGTCCAAAATAGGGATGTTAATGGGCATTTGGGTAGTTTGCAATTTGGGACTATTATGAACAGTCCCAAATATGGATCAAAGGGAATGGCATATGGAGAAATATAATGGACTCTGGAGATTCAGAAGAGGGGATGTTGGGAGGGGAGTGAGTGATAGAAAAATACTGCGTATTTTTCATACTATATATTTTTATCACATATGAATGCATCTTTTTGGTATATATCTAGCAATGCTGTTGCTGGGTCAAAGGGAATGCATGTGCTCAGTTTTAGAAAATACTGATAAACAATTTTTCAAGGCAGTCGTGGGATAGATTGCAAAAATAGCCACAGTTTTCCACCCCTTCTGTATCCATACACCTTTACAATGTGACTGAAGTTCCTTCCATCAAGAAGTGGAGTCTATGACACAAATGGAAATATATCCCATACTCATGGATTGAAAGAATCAATGTCATGAAAATGTCCATGCTGCTCAAAGAAACCTACAGATTTAGTGCAATCCCTATCAAAATACCAACACAATTTTTCACAGAATTAGAAAAGAAATCCTAAAATTCATGTGGAATTTAAGAAGAGCCAGAATAACCAAAGCGATACAGAGCAAAAAAGAACAAATCTAGAGGCATCACATTACCTGACTTGAAATTATACTACAAGTCTATACTAACCAAAACAGCATGGTATTTGTATAAAAGTAGACACACTGACCAATGGAACAGAATAGAGAATCCAGAAATAAATCCAAATAGTTACAACCAACTGACCTTAGACAAAGCACACAAAAACATAAATTTGGGAAAGGATACACTATTCAATAAATGGTGCTGAGAAAACTGGAAAGCCACATGTAGAAGAATGAAACTGGATCCCTATCTCTCACCATATATGAAAATCAACTCAAGATGTATTAAAGACTTAAAGCTAAGACTTGAAACTATAAAAATTCTAGAAGAAAGCCTAGAAAAAAACTAATCTGGACATTGGCCTAGGAAAATAATTTGTGACTAAGACCCCAAAAGCAAATACAACAAAAACAAAAATAAATAAATAAATGGGACCTAATTAAATGCAAAAGCTTATACACAACAAAGGAAATAATCATCAGAGTAAACATGCAACCCATAGAATAGGAGAAAATATTTGCAAATTATGCATCAACAAAGGACTAATATCCAGAACCTACAAGGAACTCAAACAAAGCAGCAAGAAGAAACCCAAATAATTTCATCAAAAAGTGGGCAAATGACATGAATAGACAGTTCTCAAAAGAAGATATACAAATGGCCAACAAACATACAAAAAAATGCTCAGCATTACTAATCGTCAGATAAATAAAAATTAAAACCACCATGAGATACCACCTTACCCCAGACACAATGGCCATTATTATAAAGTCAGAAAACAATTGATGTTTGTGTGGATGTGGTAAAAAGGGAATGCTTATACACTGTTGGTGGGAAGGTAAATTAGTACAACCTCTGTGGAAAATAGTATGGAGATTTCTCAAAGAACTAAAAGTAGATCTATCATTCGATTCAGTAATCCCACTACTGGGCATCTACCCAAAGGAAAAGAAGTCATTATATCATCAAGACACCTGCACAAATATGTTTATCACAGCACGATTCACAATTGCAAAGATAGGGAACCAGCTTAAGTGCCCATTAATCAATGAGCGTGAGTGGATAAAGAAAATGTGGTATATATACACCATGGAATACTCTCGGCCATAAAAAGGAATAAAATAACGTTTTTTGCAGCAACTTGGATGGAGTTGGTGGCCATTATTATGAGTGAGGTAACTCGCTTATACAATATTATATAATGGAATATATATTGGCATATATAAATATAATGGAAAATCAAATAGTGTATGTTCTCATTTGTAAGTGGGAGCTAAGCTATGGGTACGCGGAGGCATATGGAGAAATATAATGGACTTTGGAGATTCAGAAGAGGGGATGTTGGGAGGGGAGTGAGTGATAGAAAAATACTACATATTGGGTACAACGTACACTACTCGGGTGATGGGTGCACTAAAATCTCAGACTTCACCAGTGTACCATTCATCCATGTAACAAAAACCCACTTGTTCCCCAGAAGCCATTGAAAAAAAAATTAACCACAAATATCAAAAACATATCCATGGCAAACAAGAAAATAGCTAAATGTGTTTTATTACATTTTGGTATCAAATGCTTATACACTGCTAGTGGGACTGTAAATTAGTTCAGCCATTGTGGAAAGCAGTTTGGCAATTTCTCAAAGAACTTAAAGCAGAATTATCACTCAACGCAGCAATCCCATTATTGGGTATATACCCAATAGAAAAGAAATCATTCTACCATAAAGACACATGCATGTGTATGTTAATCACAGCACTATTTACAATACCAAAGACATGGAACCAACCTAAATGCCCATCAAAGGTAGACTGGATAAAGAGAATGTGGTACATATACACCACGGAATACTACACAGCCATAAAAATAATGAGATCATGTCCTCTGCAACAACATGGGTGAAGCTGGAGGCCATTATCCTGAGCAAACTAACACAGGGACAGAAAACCAAATACCACACGTTCTCACTTATAAATGGAAGCTAAACATTGAGTACACGTGAACACAAAGCAGGGAAAAGACACTGGGGTGTACTTGAGGGTAGAGGGCGGGAGGAAGGTGAAGATCTAAAAACTACCTGTGGGGTACTATGCTTATTACCTGGGTGACAAAATAATCTGTATGCTAAACTCTTGTGACATACAATTTACCTATACATCAAACCTACAACCCTGAACCTAAAAGTTAAAAACAAATAAACAAATAAAAGGTTTTGATTAAAGTGGATTCTCAAACAAACAAACAAAACAGAGATGTAGTCTATATCCCTCACCCTTGAACCTAGACTGGCATTCTGACTTGCTCTAGCTAGCCCTCTTGGTATCCTATTCCACCTCCATATAAACAAGCTCAAGCTAGGATGCTGGAAGGCAAGAAGCATGTGACTGGGCCAACTCTCTTATCTCAACCAACAGCTGGCTAGCCACCAGACATGTGAATTAGGCCATCCTAGACAAGCCTGCCCCAGCTGACCTGCCAGCCAATAGCAGATGCACAAGTGAGTCCAGTCAACATCAGCCAAGCCTGGTCCAAATCAGTAGAACTACTTGACTAACCTTAGACTTGTGAATAATAATAAATGATGATTTTTAACTTGTGTTTCTTATTTGTGCAAATTTATGAGGTACAGGAGAAATGTTGTTACTTGTATAAAATGTGTAGTGATCAAGTCAGGGTATTTAGGGTATCTATCACCTGACTACACTACATTTTTGTTAAGTATAGACACTCGGCTCTGCTATCAAATATTGGATTTATTCCTTCTATCTTACCAGGTTTGTACAATTTAACTCAGTTCTCTTCATACCTCCCCTCCCCTGCTCTCACCCTTCCCAATTTCTGTTATCTATCTCTCCACTCTATTTCCATGTGATCAAATTTGTTAGTTCTCACATAAATTAGAACACACAATATTTGTCTTTTTGTGCCTGGCTTATTTCAATTAACATAATGACCTCCAGTTCCATCCATGTTGCTGCAAATGACAGTATTTTGTTCTTTTTTATGGCCAAATAGTATCCAATTGTGTATATATACCACATTTTCTTTATCCATTCATCCATTGATGAACACTTAGGTTGATGCTACATTCTTGCTATTGGGAATAGTGCTGCAGTAAACGTGGGGGTACAGATATCTCTTTGATATAATGATTTCCTTTCCTTTGGATGAATACCCAATAGGGGGATTGCTAGATCATCTAGTAGTACTATTTTTAGTTTTTTGAGGAAACTTCATACTGTTTTTCATAATGGCTATGCTAATTTACATTCCCACCAACAATGTATAAGACTTGCCTTTTCTGCACATTCTGGCCAGCATTTGTCATTTTGTCATTTTGATGATAGCCATTCTGAGATAAGATGACCTATCATTGTGGTTTTGATTTGCATTTCTCTGATGACTAGTGACGTTGAGCATTTTTTCATATACCTGTTGGCCATCTGTACATCTTCTTTTGAGAAATTTCTATTCACATCCTTTGCCCACTTTTAAATAGGACTTTTTTGGTTTTGTTCCTGTTGGTTTGATTTCCTTGTACATTCTGGATATTAGTCACCTGTCAGATGAATAGTTTACAAATATTTTCTCCCATTCAATAGGTTGTTTCTTCACTTTGTTGATTTTCTTCTTTGCTATACTATAGTTTAATGTAGTCCCATTTTTCTGTTTTTGCTTTTGTTGCCAGTTCTTTTGAGGTCTTAGTCATAAATTCTTTGCTTGGACGAATATCCAGGAACGTTCTCCCTGATTTTCTTCTAGTGTTTTTATAGTTTCAGGTCTTGTGTTTAAGTTTTTAACCCATTTTGAGTTGATTTTTATATATGGTGAGAGATAGGAGTCCAGTTTCATTCTTCTGTATGTGGATATCCTGTTTTCCCAACACTATTTATTAAAGAGAATGTCCTTTCCCCAATGTAAGTTCACGTTGGCTTCATCAAAAATTAGTTAGCTGTAAATATGTGGTTTTATTTATGGGTTCTCTATTATGTTCCATTGGTCTGTGTGTCTACTTTTACATCAATACCATACTGTTTTGCTTACTATAGCCTTGTAATATATTTTGAAGTCAAGTAACGTGATGCCTCCAGCTTCGTTCTCTTTGTTCAGTGTTGCTTTGGGTATTCTGGCTCTTTTTTTTGTTCCATATGAATTTTAGGATTGCTTTCTAATTCTGTGAGGAATAACGTTTGTAGTTTGATAGAGATTGCATTGAATCTGTAGATTGCTTTGGGCAATATGGTCATTTTAACAGTGTTAATTCTTCTGATCAGCATGGGATGTTTTTCCATTTGTTTGTGTCGTCATCTTCAACTTCTTTCATTGGTGTTTTGTAATTTTCCTTCAGAGATCTTTCACCTCCTTGGTTAATTTATTCCTGGGTATTTTCTCGTTTGTAGCTATTGTAAGTGGGATTGCCTTCTTGATTCTTTCTCAACTAGATCATTATTGGTGTATAGAAACACTATTTATTTTTTATACATTGATTTTTTTTATCCTACAATTTTACTGAATTTACTTGTCACATGTAAGAGTTTTGTGGTGGAGTCTTCAGTTTTTTTCTAGATACAATATCATATTGTCAGCAAAGAGGGAAAATTTGTCTTCCTCTTTTCCAGTTTGGATGCCTTTTCTTTATTTCTCTTATCTGATTGTTCTGGCTAGGACTTCCAGTTCTATGTTGAATAAGAGTGGTTGATAGTTGGCATCTTTGTCTTGTTCCCGTTATTAGAGGAAAGGCTTTCAACTTCTCCCTGTTCAGTATGATGTTGGCAGTGGATTTGTCATATATGGCCTTTATTATATTGTGGTATGTTATTTTTCTGCCTCGTTGTTGAAAGTTTTTAATCATGAGAGAATGTTGAATTTTATGAAAGCTTTTTCTGTGCCTACTGGAATAATCATATGGTTTTTGTTGAATGGTGATTTTTTTAAGACAGTGAGTCACACAGCCATAGACAATGGTTATATATTTCATTACTCTGGCAACAGTGCCATCAGGTAGGTACTGTTAACTTCTTTGTATTGATGAAGAAACTCAGGTTCAGAGAGGCTAGGTAACTTGCCCTAGAATACACAGCTAGCAAGAGGTGGAAACAGGAATCAAATCATGCCTAATCCTAAGGGCTTCTTTTCTCCTATATCACAACATTCATAAAGTAAAATGCACATAAATAAATAGAAAGTTTAGATCCCAACTTCTACGTGACTTCCAAAACCCCTGAGCAGAAGTCCAATAATACTGCTCAGTAGCCAACACTGAGAATGCTGTCATTTGAGCCCCAATCACCTCATTCTAGCCCGGAAGCTTGTGATCCAACTGTACATCTAGTAAAAAATCTTCTGAAGAGCACTCTTTGGTGTTACATTTTGGAATTTTATTTACTGACATTTATCCATGTTCTTCACTCCAGTAAAATTTTTCACATGTAGATTGCTTGATTTTATTATACTTGATATTTACATATCTCTTGATCTTTAACATTAATCTTTTATCACATTTCTGAGTATAAAAAAGTTGAGACCAGTAACATGTACACATGAAGAGGATGTGAAAAGGGTCAAGCTGGAAGAACCAACTTTAGGCACACCTAGAGGGTTTCAGACCTTGCATAATAGTAGACCAAGAGTATATCATCCTTGAAACCAAGTGATATGCAGGTGTAAAATTTGGGCAAACTTTTAAAGTTTGTAGAAAGGGTTGGCAGAAGGCAGAGAGAGGTGGGGTCTTCTTGACTGAGGGGCAGTTTACTTTATATAATGCATCCCTTGCCGTGCAGTAAGGATCAGTGTGTGTGTGTGTGTGTGTGTGTGTGTGTGTGTGTGTGTGTATTTCTAGGTGGTTATATATATAAAATCACCTAGAAAGTATCCGACAATCTAGCAGACACTTACAAATGATAACTATTAATATTGTTGCATTATTGTTATTGTTGATTTTTCCCACAACGATCAACATGCCACAGCGTTTTTTTCCCTCACAGCCCTAACAAAGTTAGTCTGGAAGAAACTTGCCAAAATCCAGCTGACCACCCATCTCAATAAGTCATCAAATACCTCTATTCTGAGCACTGCAAATATACAAAATAAATGTAAGACATGGTTTTCTTTTTCTAGCAGGAAGGATAAAACAATTGCCCAAAAAGACCCTCATAAAAGGTAGAAGATGCTGATGACACAAAAGAACAAATACAGGTTTGCAGAGAGGAAGGATGGAATCTCTATGAAAAGCTGAGGTCAGGAAAGATGTGATAAAATTTGAGAGAAGGTAACTCCAGTTAGAAATAGCAGAATGCATAAAGATTGCGAGTTGAAAAAGGGAAAGGCTTTCTCAGGAAACAATGAGTTTGACTAGTGTAGAGTAGGAATTGGAGTCACGGAAAAAAAAAAAAAAGCTGGAATGTAAAACTGTGAAGCCAGGGAAAGGCATCTGGACTAGATTCAGGAGGCAATGATAGATTTTAGGTAGATACTTGAGCAAGATAAACCTAACCAAAATGAGCATATTGGAGCAATCAGAACCTAAAAAGCCAGTGGGGAGATCATTGCAATGTCTGATTGTAAGGCAAGACCTTATTAGGAGATTTCAGATTAATATCCTATATTAGAGCCAAGCTCTGATTCAGTAGCTGTTAGTTTACTATCATGATATATTGATAATCCTTATTAACTCTGGATACGTTACAAGTATTTTGTCACTATGAATCATGTAAAGTTCCTTTAGAATCAAGACATAATCTATTTTGCCACCTTATTTCTAGAGCTTATAATAATTTTCCCCTTTGCTATAAATTAGAAAGAATATACAGATATCCCTGCAATAAAATTGTGTTTGCTTTCTTACATTCCAATATGTAGAGTTAGAGTGGGGCAGTTGCCATAGAAAGGAAGAAGCGTATAAGGAAGGCCTTTTGATGATACAATTGACAGACTTGGCCACTGAGGTGAAGGAAAAGAGTCAAGTATGACTCAGACTAGATGAACAGTAGGGCCACCAACAGAATCCAGAAAATTAGGCAGGCTCAGATTGTTTGGGGAGAGGATGATGAGGTTGTTGTGGCCAAAGACCAAACTGAGGTTTAGGACCATACTGATGGAGATGTTATTACAGGCATTTGGAAATTCAGGACTTGAATCAGGAAAGAGTGGCATGCTAGACAGATAAGTTGGGTGTCATCCAAAAATGAAGCTAAAAAGATTTTACATTGTGGAAATTAAATATTCCGAGTCATCTTGGGAAGTGGGAAAAGAGGAAGTGAAGTTTTAATAGGCCTGTAGCAATTTATAGCACTAAAATTAAAATGGCATATATATATCTGTGAGTTGTCTAGGAAAAACACATTGGTGATCAGCAATGAGAAAAAATTCTTCTGGGAATCTGTCCAGGAACACAAATCCTTCTTTCTTGTTGCTTCAGGCTCTAAACCTCTTTCCTAATTTTGGGGCAGCTCCCAGTTTCTGCCTAGTTTCTCTCTCCAGCCCTGGCTTCAAAACCTGGCTCAGTTTTCCAAATTTTTCCCTTCATAGAGTTTCACAAAGAAGCTTATATTCTTCTTTTTTTTCATAGTTTAAGTTTTCCTCTTGCAGGCACAGAAATAGATAAGTAAGATATAGTGAGTAAGTTGTAGTCTTAACATGAAATCTTTAAAATGCTGATATTCATTATCCCTGGTCTTCATGCAAATATCAGGCCATACTATACTGGAACTGGCTCATACTGGCTCACAAGAACTGACTGTTTAATTTTCAGAAATTTTGCAAGCCACTGGTTAAACATAGCTATTATTAAAAATTAAGTTATATAAACTTAACACCAAGTAAGTTATGAAAAACAAAGGTAATACTCAAAGCATCACTTCCTAATTACTTTACTATTACCCCTGTTCTTGAAGTTATTTGTGTCTATTGCATCTGTATGGTAGAAATACCATATAATGGTATGTTACTTTGCAGGGCATCCCAATTCTGTGTACAATAATGCCATATTGGTGGTTTAAAGTTGGCCATCATGAGAGGATTTACTACAAATCAGAGCATTTTTATTTTCTCTTGAAAAGCCAGTTGTTAAACATCTACCAGCGTACCACTGCTGTCAGGCATGTGTAATGTCATGGAAAAGGCAAAATATCATGGATTAAATCATTAGGTTGGAGTTCCAATTCCATTCCTTACTGACAGAGCAACCTTAAGCAGGTCCCTTAATGTCTTATGAGTCCCTGCAAAAGAGCATATGGATATCCCTCTCCAAGGATGCTGTATGTTGAGAACTCTACTCACATAGTCCCACGGGAATCCAATCTTAATCTTTTGAGGATTAGCCTGCCTAAGTGTGGGACAGTTGACCAGGCTGTACCTAATGCAGCCCAAATACATTTGAGTTGTAACGAGTATGAGATAAAATGGGATTTTTGATCCTTCCAGAGTCAACACCTAACCTTCTCCATGGTAGTATATGGGAACAATCAGGAATGCTATCATACCCTAGTTACGAGGGGGACGATGGCCTAGATCAGACCCAGCAATGTTAAGGTAAAATCAATATTCTCTCATGTCCCTCCTCGCCCCAAGAGAGAGCTTCCCTAACATCTTTCATAAAAACATTACAATATTAAAATACTTTAAAACACAATGTCATTAATATACCTGCTTTCTAACAAGAGAAAAAGTGTGTGTGTGTGTGTGTGTGTGTGTGTGTGTATGCACACGCATATGTGTTTTCCAGGTACTACTGTGGAATATATAAGACAGATATATTTTTATACCTCCTGTTAGTAGAGTTAAAAGCTAAGAGAAATATCTACGATGAAATTAAAAAACAAAAGCCAAATATGTATTGAAAGAGTGTAGAAAACTATTTGCATCCTACATGATGACATTCTGTCAAACCATCTGTAAAATGTATTTTGATGGGTTTCAGAGCCCATGTTTTGAGCCTGAAAAGTACATTCAAGTGATTTGTGTCAGCTTGTATGATTGGATGGTTTGCCTAGTTAATTTTACCACCTGTCTCGGTCATCAGTTCTTATTAGCTCTCATTTGAAGAGGAAAAAAAGTCTCTAGAATTCCAACTTCCTTTTGAATACCAAAGGATGTTATGCTTTTATTTAGATATCAATATATCTTCCTGTTTCCTGAAGATTCTTGTTATAACTTCAGATTCTCCGTGGTTTGTCTGTTCATATAATCTATTACTATTTGTGTGACAAAAATAACTTTTTCTTTTTAAAAACAAAACAAACATGAAAGTTAAATGCGTCCTATAACTTCCAAACATTCAAGAAACATTTAAGAATGCAGATCTTGGGTTAGCATATTGCAAATTTCAGATTGCTAAAATTTTATATATTACCACATTTAATGCACAGTTCTAATGTTACAGGATGGAGTCTAATAAGTGGGTAAGAGTTGAAGCAAAGGACATGATTGAGTCTATTTCAATGCCACAAAAAGACTGGAAACTAAAGGCTAATTACAAACTATGTTAAAGAATAATTCCAGATGACAGAAGTGCTAGAATCCCAGGATGAGCTGTCATCACCCAAAGTAAAGGTAAGGGATCCTGAAAACAAATATATCTACATGAGATTCCACAAAGAGTTTCAAATACACATATACATAACTGAATGCAGAGATTGCAAAATCATTTCATTAGAGTACCAGTAACCACAGCCATGGAATGTATCTTAGAAGTCATGAGACCAGAAAAATGGTCTACGATTAAAATTAAAAGCTGACATTAATTTTAGCACACACCTCAACCAGATGATTTAGGGTACTGATTACATACTTCTTGGATTCTTTGGGAGATCAACATGCATATAAGTACATGAGTTTATGTGTTAATATGTAGAAGACCTTTAAAATCAGCCTTCTCTCAGTCTCTTTGTGACATCTATGTATTCATATTTTCAGGAGACACTTAATGCCTTATATATGTGAAGCATAGGAGATAATGCAATGAAAAAGAATAGGATTTCTCTCACAAGGAGTTGAATTTACTTTGGGAGAAAAGATACTGAAACTAGTAGCTATGATGTAAGGTAAAAATAGAGTTAAAGTCCTATAAGAGTATCTATCTACCTTCAAATTCTAATCAAAAAGTTGAATACATTTTTTTTTTTACCAACAGAACGATTTTCTTAAAGATCTCTAAACTAAGTTTTAGAATTCAAGTTGCTTTTTCAAACTGTTTTGAGGCTTTCAAAACTAAAAATTCTATGAATCACAGGAGTGGAAGGAAGTAAGGAGAAAGGCATCTGGGTAGACAGATGGGACCTGAGGGTAGAAAGACTAGGCTGTGGGGGTCTTTGGAGCCAACCCTTCTCCCTACCGTGCCCTCATTTCCCTCTTCAAGCAGCAGATCGACTGGTTTCAGGCTTTGTTCCAGCAAAAGTGAAGTTAGTGAGTTTTTGACAGAGCTATGCATGTTCATCAACAGAGGTCAGTGCCATTCAAGTTTCAGACCAATTTGCAGCTTCTGGTTTGTTCAGAATTAGGATTAAATCGATCATCAAATACAGACTTACCTCACATAGTGACTGTCAGTTAATCAGTTAATAATCTTCGTAAGGGTTCTTGAAAGTTATTCCACTTTTTAGATAACTCTGTTTTGTTTTTTTTGCTTTCGCGTAACTGCTTTTTCACCCCAAAGCCCACTAAGCAAATACACTAAAGAAATAATATATCAACATTCCATTTCAGAAAAAAATACACATTCCACAATTTACTCAAAACAATTGTTTCCTCGTCATAAAAATCAATATGGAACTTATTGAGATAAACTCAAATGCTTTCCTTTGCATATATACCCCCAGTAGGGGAACCTGTTTGTTCACACAGGCCTTCCTTCAATCTGTTGGGTGCACGAGTTATTTCCACATGTTTCAAACTCCTTTCATAAATTAGCCTTATTTTGACCTTTAGGTGGTTTTCTACGCTGTAACATTTTTAAGGATGGTTTGAGTGCAAGATTACCATGACCTCCCAAAAGTTTGAAAAATTAGTGGAGAAAACTAGGCAGAAAGAAAAATACAATTTATAAAGAATGACTTCCTCCATCTTAGTCTGTTTTGTGTTGCTATAAGGGAATACCTGGGACTGAGTAATTTGTAAAGAAAGAAAGGTTTATTTGGCTCATGATTCTGATGTCTTGAAAGTTCAAGATTGAGTATCTGCATCTGATGAGGGCCTCAGGCTGCTTTCACTCATGGGGGAACTCCAACGGGGTGCCAGTTTGTGCAGAGATCACATGCCAAGAAAGGAATCAAGAGAGTGAGGTGGAAGGGCCAGGGTCTTTTTAACAACCAGCTCTTGTAGGAACTAATAGAGTGATAACTCACTCATCCTCAAGAGAGGACATTAATGTATTCATGAGAGATCTACCCCCATAACCCAAATACCTCCCATTAGGCCCTGCATCCAATGTTGGGAATCAAATTTTAACACCTGGTTTGGAGGGGACAAACATCTAAAGCATAGCAACCTCATGTATCTTCTCCACTGCCCACTTCCCCAACTCACTCTCAAGACTTCTCTTCTTCCTAGTCAAATGTAATATATTTTTATTATATTTCATGTCAAACAGTATTTGTTAACTTTCAAATTGTTGTTTGTTACTTATAAGAGCTTATTTTTATTGTTCAGTTGAAATATTCTACTATTTGTAAAACATTAATTGCTTCCTCCAATTGGGATGGGATGCAGCATAGTTTTTCACATTAATATTAGTGGACATGTTTTCTCATTTAAAGACTTTTTACTTTGAAGCCAGGTTTGGGGGTATAAATTTAAAGTCAATATGTGAAAGTTAAGTGTATTTACTGAGGAACTACTATGTTTTGGAAATCATGGTATACACTGAAGGAAAGTTTGTGGAAAAGAATGGTGTGGTCCCTGCCTTCTGGGTGTTTACAGTCAAGCTGGGAAGATGGTTGAAATCATTTTCTGTTTTCCAGAGATATAGTATATCTGCCCAGAGTTAATTAAGATCTGTATTCTCTGAAGATGTTTTCTCATTAAATTAGTGAATTCATGCAGCCAAATTCAGGGTAAAGTTATCCCAAGATTCTGAACTCTTTAAAGTTATTAGGATCTGCCCCTGCCTGGGGTTTTCTAATAGGTATTTATCTTAGAAACCTGAGTCAATGAGCTTCTAAGGTTGCCTTAAAGGCATAGTTGCCCCTTAAGGAAATAATGTTCAGGCTGGGTGTGGTGGCTAACGCCTGTAATGCCAGCATTTTGGGAGGCCGAAGCGGGCGGATCATGAGGTCAGGAGATCGAGACCATCCTGGCTAACACGGTGAAACCCCGTCTCTACTAAAAATACAAAAAATTAGCTGGGCATGGTGGTGGGTGCCTGTAGTCCCAGCTACTCAGGAGGCTGAGGCAGGAGAATGGCGTGAACCCAGGAGGCGGAGGGAGTGAGCCGAGATTGCACCACTGCACTCCAGCCTGGGCAACAGAGCAAGACTCCATCTCAATTAAAAAAATAAAAATAAAAAATAATGTTTAATGTTCAACAGTCATAATACTCATAATACTTAAAATTTACTCATCACCTTTTGTGGATTCATGGCCCCAAAACCCTTGCTTTGAAGCTCCTGTTTGAAGTTTCAAGCCTAAAGCCATCAGACATTTGCAGTCCTGATATTGGCTGCACAGGGGCTTGTCAGAGCAGTCCATATCATGTTCTGGCATCTCAGACTCACAGTCAGAAGGGCATGGCAAGGAGGGAAAAGAGCTACATGCTCACTGTTGTTGGGAGAGACACGGCAATGAAGGCTAACACCTGTCTCAGTCAGCTGAAGCATGGATGGAAAAATATGCCCCATTGCATACGCTGCTCTGGAGACTTTCTGGGAATCTGTCAGCCACAGGGAAGGGATGAAATGAGATGCACATCTCAAACTATACCTCTGGCCCATTATTGCTCTCAAAAAGTAATAATGTATTATCCAAGCTGCCTTCCTGGGTAATTTGAGGCAGATAGGAAGTTTCTCAATCATAGCTCTTTCACAGATTTATAGGTGTCTCTGACTGGTACAGTCAATTAATGTATTTCTAGTTGCCTTCCTGTTAATCCTCAGGTTTAAGAAAAAAAGCACGACCCTTGTATGTCTATCGGGATGAAAAGATATTCAATAAGAATGCCAAAGTTACCTTGTGCTATAGAGGTGAGATGCTGGACAAGATCAGGGAAAGGCTGCTGGCTTCAAAGCAACCCCTTGGTAATCACATTTATCTTTGTACAAAGATGAAAAATAATGAATTAAATGGCCATTCCAGTAAAAGGATAATACAACTAAACCAATCAACTGCTAATAAACGGACTGGCATAATCCTGAAGAAGGTCTTGTATAATAGTGTTTTTTCCCCTCATCGTCAAATTTTTTGTCTATGCTAGGGATCCACAATCTTTTCATGTAAGGGGTCAGATATTTTAGGCTTTGTGGGCCAGTCTCTGTCACAGCTAGCCATTCAACTCTGCCATGGTGGCATGAAAGTAGTCATATTTAGTACATAAATTAATGGGCATGGCTGTGTTCCAATAAACTTTATTTACACAAGCAGATGGCTGCTGGATTTGGCCGCTGGGCTGTAGTTTGCTGACCCTGTGTCTACAGTATTAATCAAATTTACAACCCAGTAATACACATGTGTTGGAAGGAAGAGAGTCTTCACAGAGGAGAGAAAGGAGAGTTACTCCAAGATAATATTAATGTGTAGGTAAATAAGAAGTCATTTTGGGGAGCAGAAAAAATGAGGAAAATAATTTAGCTTACCTTTAAGTCCTTGAAGGGACTTTGAGATCTTTATTTCTTTTTAAAAAAATTTTTTATTTCCCTGGGTTTTTGGGGAGCAGGTGGTATTTGGTTACCTGAGTAAGTTCTTTAGTGGTGATTTGTGAGATTTTGGTGCATGCATCACCTCAACAGTATACACTGCACCCAATTTGTAGTCTTTTATCCCTCACCCCGCTCCCACCCTTTTCCCCAAGTCCCCAAAGTCCACTGTATCATTCTTATGTCTTTGCATCCTCATAGCTTAGCTCCTACTTATGAGTGAGAGCACACGATGTTTGGTTTTCCATTCCTGAGTTATTTTACTTAGAATAATAGTTTCCAGTTCCATCCAGGTTGCTGTAAATGCCATTAATTCATTCCTTTTTATGTCTGAGTAGTAGTCCATTCTATATATATGCACCACAATTTCTGTGGAGATTCCTTAAAGAACTGAAAGTAGAACTACCATTTGATCCAGTAATCCCAGTATTGAGTATCTACCCAGAGGAAAGGAAATCATTATACTAAAAAGATACTGGCACATGCGTGTTTATAGCAGCACAATTCGCAATTGCAAAAAATATGGAACCAGCCCAAGTGCCCATCAGTCAACAAGTGAGATCTTCATTTCTAACCTGCTATTTTCACAGTTGAAGAAACTGAGGTTTGAAAAAAGGAGTGACTTGCCAAGAATCATATAGCTATTTACATCCACAGCTGGGTGTAAAATACTTACACATTGTCATATCTACCTAATTCTTTTCACCCAAACTAGCCACATGGGTAGTTAGAAAAGAAACCAGATATTCTGGTTTAGTTCTTTTTCCAATAATCAGGGCATTTTTCTGTATATGTTTTCTTTGCTCAACCTCAAACTCACATTGTACAACCCTCAGGATCACCTTACATTGCTAAATGTTAAATTGACAAGAGATTTTGATGGTGATAAACTTTTTTCTTTCTGTGAGCAGATGCTGAATATCACATTTTTCTAAACCCAGGTACTTGGAAAAAGAGAAAATAGTGTCCAAAGGTCTTTGACAGTGACATTACCCACAAGACCATAAAATGAGAGGTCTGAGCACTAAAGTTTATTGCTCAACCCTTCAGGTTTATTGGCTGTAAAGATTTGCTCTACTACAGGGAGATAGATGGAAAGTAGTGAGCAAACATTTTTCTCTCTCTTCTAGCTAATGGAACTAGGAAGTAAGAATAGTTAATATAATTTCAGTACACAGTTGGCAATAAGGACCTAGAAACTGGAGTCAGTTAGATCTAATTTAGCAAATTGAAATTTCCAGGATAAAAGTTAAATAGCATGCAAAGAAGTGATAGAAAATTCTTGCACCAAAATACAGTCTGAGGACAGATACGAGTTGCTCCACATCTAAAGACAGTCTTACCTAAATAATAAATTTTCTGTTTGCTTAGAAAACTAGTGTGCCAACTGCTACTGAAAAATAATAAATGCGTGTTTTTATACTTTTTCTGGATCCATCCACCCTAAGCAACTACACAAAATTCAGCATCTTCTAGACATTTTTTATTATATCTAGGTATGTAGATTGCATTAATGACATCATTTTTCCACTACCCTCCTTCTATATACATGCCCTTTGCCCAGGTGACTCTGAAGTTCTCTCTAAAGAGACCAAGTCTATTTTCCTACCTATTGGATCCAGGCTCAGCCATGTGGCTAGTTTGGGTGAAAAGAATTAGGTAGATATGACAATGTGTAAGTTCCAAGCCTAGATTTCAAGAGGCTTTGAGTTTGTCTGCTTCCTCTCTCTTGCTTTTGCTATTGCCAGGCAAACAGCAGGCACAGACTAGCCAACTGTTCCAGAAAGTGGACAAGAAACACTTGGAACAAAGCCAAGTCACCCTACTTGAGCCCAACCTACATAAAGTCACCCCTAGTCAATCCACAGATTCATGGTAGAGTCAGCGGAGATCAGAATAATCACCAAACACAGCATAGCTTAGATTGAAATAAATACAGTAGACATGTGAAATATATTTATTATTGCATGCCTCCAAGTTTTGTAGTCATTTGTTACACAGCAATTTGTCAGCAATAGATATGCAGATGGAGACTCAGTAAATAGTCATTACAGATGTTATAATTGCTACACATATCGCAACGATATTTTCCAAGTAGCATGGCATAAGAGTAAACAGCCTAGATACTGGAAGTAGACTATATCAATTTGAATCTTAGCTCAGACACTTACTAGCTGTGTCCTCTGGTGTGGCAAACACCCTAAAGTAACCACCAATTAGTTATGCCCTTGTGTAATCCCCTCACCTTGAGTGTGGATAGATCCTGTGATCTGCTTCTGGCCAGTGGAATGTGGCAACCTTGATGGAATGTCACTCTGTTCCTTAGGCTATATTATATAAGACTCCATCTTCACAAGCTGAAGAGGCTCTCTTGCTAGCTTTGAAGAAATAAGCTGCCATGTTGTGGGAGGACTACATGACAAGGCATTGCAGGTGGCCTTTATGACCTGAGAGCAGACCCCAAGCAACAGCCAGCAAGTAAAACGTGAACTTCAGTCCTACAACTGCAAAATGATGAATTTGGCAAGCAACACTAGTGCACTGGGAGGTGAATCTTTCCCTAGTTGAGCCTCTAGATGAGAATGCAGCTGGCCAACACCTTGATTGCAGCCTTCTGAGACCCTGAGCAGAGAAACTAGTTAAGCTATGCCAGATCTCCTGCCCCACAGAAACTACGAGATAGAAAATGTGTTGCATTTAACTGCTAAGTTTGTAGTAATTTGTTAAGCAGCAACAGAAAACTAGTATATTAGGAAAATGGTTTATTATCTCTTCATATGTAAAAAAAAAAGAGAAAAAATCCACATAAGCTTGCTGTGAGAATTAGATAAATTAATATGAATAAAACACTTAGAACATAGCCTATATCTTAGTAATCACTTAATACATGTCAGCTATTATAAATACTGTTATTATTTTTATCAATCCAAAGTCATTAAAATGACTTTAGTAGTTGGTCTGGCAGCACATTTATTTTGTCAGTCATCAAATAACAAAGCTATGGGGCCATAATTTTGCACTCGAATGCCACCAGTTAATTACTCACTTAATTAACCTTTCCTCCAAAGATGAAATAATTCATAGACTCCGACACAATAATAATGGGAGACTTTAGCAGCCCACTGTCAATATTAGACAGATCAACGAGACAGAAAATTAACAAGGATATTCAGGACTTGAACTCAGCTCTGGACCAAGCAGACCTAATAGACATCTACAGAACTCTCCACCCCATATCAACAGAATATATATTCTTCTCAGCACTACATTGCACTTATTCTAAAATTGACCACATAATTGGAAGTAAAACACTCCCCAGCAAATGCAAAAGAATGGAAATCATAACAAACAGTCTCTCAGGCCACAGTGCAATCAAATTAGAACTCAGTATTAACAATCTCACTCAAAACCACACAACTATGTGGAAACGGAACAACCTACCCCTGAATGACTACTGGGTGAATAACGAAAATAAGGCACAAATAAATAAGCTATTTGAAACCAGTGGGAACAAAAACACAACATACCAGAATCTCTGGGACACAGCTAAAGCAGTGTTTAGAGGGAAATTTATAGCACTAAATGCCCACAGGAGAGAGTGGGAAAGATCTAAAATCGACACCCTAACATCACAATTAAAAGAACTGAAGAAGCAAGAGCAAACAAATTCAAAAGCTAGTAGACAAACAAATTCAAAAGCTAGTAGAAAACAAGAAATAACTAAGGTCAGAGCAGAACTGAAGGAGATAGAGACACGAAAACCCCTTCAAAAAAATCAATGAATCGAGGAGCTGGTTTTTGGAAAAGATTAACAAAATACATAGAACGCTAGCCAGACTAATAAAGAAGAAAAGAGAGAAGAATCAAGTAGACACAATAAAAAATGATAAAGGGGAGATCACCACTGATCTCACAGAAATACAAACTACCATCAGAGAATACTATAAACACCTCTACCCCAATAAACTAGAAAATCTGGAAGAAATGGATAAATTCCTGGACACGTACACCCTCTCAAGACTAAACCAGGAAGAAGTCAAATCTCTGAATAGACCAATAACAAGTTCTGAAATTGAGGCAGTAATTAATAGCCTACCAATCAAAAAAAGCCCAGGACCACACGGGTTCATAGCCAAATTCCACCGGAGGTACAAAGAGGAGCTGGTACCATTCCTTCTGAAATGATTCCAAACAATAGAAAAAGAGGGACTCCTCCCTAACTCATTTTATGAAGCCAGCATCATCCTGATACCAAAATCTGGCAGAGACACAACAAAAAAAGAAAATTTCAGGCCAATATCCCTGATGAACATCAATGTGAAAATCCTCAATAAAATACTGGCAAACTGAATCCAGCAGCACATCAAAAAGCTTATCCACCATGATCAAGTGGGCTTCATCCCTGGGATGCAAGGCTGGTTCAACATATGCAAATCAATAAAAGTAAGCCATCACATAAACAGAACCAATGACAAAAACCACATGCTTATCTCAATAGATTCAGAAAAGGCCTCTGATAAAATTCAACAGCCCTTCATGCTAAAAACTCTCAATAAACTAGGAATTGATGGAACGTATCTGAAAATAATAAGAGCTGTTTATGACAAACCCACAGCCAATATCATACCGAATGGGCAAAAACTAGAAGCAGCCCCTTTGAAAACCAGCACAAGACAAGGATGCCCTCTCTCACCACTCCTATTCAACATAGTGTTGGAAGTTCTGGCCAGGGCAATCAGGAAAGAGAAAGCAATAAAGGATATTCAAATAGGAAGAGAGGAAGTCAAATTGTCTCTGTTTGCAAATGACATAATTGCATATTTAGAAAATCCCATCGTCTCAGCCCAAAATCTCCTTAAGCTGATAAGCAACTTCAGCAAAGTCTCAGGATACAAAATCAATGTGCAAAAATCACAGGCATTCCTATACACCAATAATAGACAAACAGAGAGCCAAATCATGAGTGAACTCCCATTCACAATTGCTACAAAGAAAATAAAATACCTAGGAATACAACTTACAAGGGATGTGAAGGAACTCTTCAAGAAGAATTACAAACCACTGCTCAAGGAATTAAGAGAGGACACAAACAAATGGAAAAACATTCCATGCTCATGGATAGGAAGAATCAATATCGTGAAATTGGCCATACTGCCCAAAGTAACTTATAGATTCAATGCTATCCCCATCAAACTACCATAATACCTACTATTAAGGGTGCAGCTAGTGATGAGTCTGTGAGTCAGCCACATACCTAAAAGTCTGCACTGAACATGATATTGAAAGTTACATGTGTCTCATGTAAGAGCTATGGCAGAAACTCTAAAGGGTAAAATAATAAACGCTTACCTAACAAGAGCATAGACAGTAGGCTGGGTGCGGTGGCTTATGCCTGTAATCCCAGCACTTTGGGAGACCAAGGCAGGCAAATCATCTGAGGCCAGGAGTTTGAGACCAGGCTGGCCAATGTGGTGAATCCCCATCTCTACTGAAAATACAAAAATTAGCCAGGATTAGCATACCCACTACAGGTGGATATACTAGTGCTTTAGTCCTAGCTACTCGGGAGGCTGAGGCAGGAGAATCACTTGAACCTGGGAGGAGGAGGTTGTAATGAGCCAAGATCATGTCACTGCACTTCAGTATGCACAACAGAGCAAGACTCCATCTCAAAAAAAAAAAAAAAAAAAAGAGTGTAGAGAGTAAAGATGCTGTGGATCAGACACATCCCTGGAAGGCTTCTTTAAACAGGATACTGAAAGCAATATATCTTAGAATATAAGACTTTGGCCAGAGGGTACAAAAGACAAAATAATACATTCCCAGTACCCCAAATTTTAAAGCGTGGTTCTCAGCTATCTTCTCAAAACCTTGACCAAAAATGGTTAAGCAGACATTAGCCCATCACCCACCTCTGGGTTATAAAACATTTGGGTAGAAGAAGGAAGAGGGAGATTTTGAAGGGATATGTCAATGAGATATGCATTTCCATCCCATCCTGACTCTGGGCATCCTCAACCCCTCCTCTGCCTCACAATAAAACATTCTATTTAAATGGAAAGTACTGGCTGGGGAAATGCCACATTTAGCGTCCAAATTTGCCTTCTTAGCCTATGCTCCACTGGGACGTTAGTCTGGTTTGTTCTCCTATTTTATTCAGTCTTTTCTCTAAGAATCCAGGCCATTTCTCAATGGTCCCTGATGTTGGTGACTGATGTGGCACATGGTTGCATCCACCAAAAGTCCCATGAAGCCTCTCACTACTGGATAACTCTTCCTGTGAAAGTGTCATCATTGTCTCATTGAATGTGGTTGCTGAATACAAATAATAAGACACAGTCCAAATAAGAGTTCTGGTATGTTGCTTCCACTTGCTATGGAAATGAGGATGTCAATACTATTCTTTATAAAGGTATCTACTGCATCCTTGGCCAGCAGTATCCTTGAAAGAAGGTTAGGGTACCAAGTCTGGTATTTCTGCTTATCCGAAGAGGAGATTCCACCCTCCACTAGATATATAGCTAGCATCTCCAGGTTTCCTTGGCCTCATGGGATGGAATCAGTAGGTGTTGTTTTGGTGCCAGATCCTGAATTGAAGTTGGATTCTCATGCTTTGTTGCATACTTTATCCAGATTGTTTGGTACTAACCTGGCCAGAACATGTCTGATCAGCTTGCTGATTCCTTTGGATTTCATCCTCAAAAGCTCCTTATCCATGCAATTCACATGGTGAATGAGTAGAAGTTGTGCGTCTTATGATACTGGTTGATAATATTTTCTAAGCCTGAGTCTTGATCAGGCTTCCTGCATCCAAGCAACAGTCCACACTTTCACCAAATGGACACATGCCTGGGAATTAATCGAAAGGTAAGAAGGTGCATTTTGAGAAGTAATTTCCAGGGCAAGCACCACAGCCTGTAACTCCAACTACTGAGAAGAATGTCCCTTTCCACACATAGATGTAAGCAGTTTTCTTGGGGGTTGTAGAGCTTCCACAACTCACAAATCCTTCTGTCTTAAACTTAGCTGATAAGTCCACAAATCACACCCAGGCATCCTTGGGACACTGGGTGTACCAAAGCCACCAAGAAAGCCAAGGTGCTGGGCAAAGTTCTTGTATCTGAGACAGCCACATCTGGAGAGCAAATGGACATTTTTTCTTATGCCTCTGAGAAATCATTAATGCCTTGTTTATGCATTCCTTTGATAGGCCACTTTCACTTACAAATGGATATTCCTTGGGTAATATCTACTTTGTTGGTGTTCACATATGGTACCCTTGTGTGATAGAAAACTCAAGTCATATTACACCTGATCTTGCTTCATTACTTGCTCAATGTACAATAACACCCACTAACAAATCTCTCAAATGGGGCACATGAGGTAGTGGTTTCAGTCATACATGAAGAACAAAACTCAAAAGGTTCTACTTTCTAATGGCCACATTTTTTGCTTCAGGCTCCAGTCTGTATCAGTATCATTCACTGACAACTTTCTTAAAAATACTGCATAAAGAATGATCTGAGTAGAAAAGTGGACTTACATAGCTGCCTAGAGAGTTTCTAAGATAGGTTCATGGTCAAATTAGATGTACTTAAAGATAAGTTGTACAATGGTCTGAGCAAGATCCCTATGTGAGGTATAAAGTACACCTATACTAAACAAGTTTATCATAAGTGGTGCAAAATATGATTTCCTGGAGGCTTTTAGTCTGTCAGTTTTTCTTGAACAAATTCATGGATTGTTTTTGGACATCAACCAACATGGTTTCCAAAAACTATACTTCAGTGGCTGGCCCCCACTTCATATAGAGTTAATCTTCAAGTTCTGTTTACTCAGGTATCAATCTACCTACTTAAGACAGACAGTATGTATTCCTTAGTCTATCCAATTTGAATAATGTCATCCATGTAATGTTACCAAGACAGTTTGGCTGCTCTTTCAATCTTCTGTATTTCTGGGCCTATGTAGTGTTGGGAAAACTGTCTAGCCATATGCAGAAAATGGAAATTGGACCCCTTCCTTATACCTTATACAAAAATTAACTCAAGATGGATTAAAGACTTAAATGTAAGAACTAAAACCATAAAAACCCTAGAAGAAAACCTAGGCAATACCATTCAGGACATAGGCATGGGCAAAGACTTCATGACTAAAACACCAAAAGCAATGGCAACAAAAGCCAAAATTGACAAACGGGATCTAATTAAACTAAAGAGCTTCTGCACAGCAAAAGAAACTGTCATCAGAGTGAACAGGCAACCTGCAGAATGGGAGAAAAATTTTGCAATCTATCCATCTGACAAAGGGCTAATATCCAGAATCTACAAGGAACTTCAACAAATTTGCAAGAAAAAAACAAACAAGCCCATCAAAAAGTGGGTGACGTATATGAACAGACACTCCTCAAAAGAAGACATTTATGTGGCCAACAAACATATGAAAAAAAAGCTCATCATCGCTGGTCATTAGAGAAATGCAAATCGAAACCACAATGAGATACCATCTCACACCAGTTAGAATGGTGATCATTAAAAAGTCATGAAACAACAGATGCTGGAGAGGATGTGGAGAAGTAGGAACACTTTTACACTGTTGGTGGGAGTGTAAACTAGTTCAACCATTGTGGAAGATGGCGTGGTAATTCCTCAAGGATCTAGAACCAGAAATACCATTTGACCCAGCAATCCCATTACTGGGTATACAGCCAAAGGATTATAAATCATTCTACTATAAAGACACATGTACACCTATGTTTATTGCAGCACTATTCACAATAGCAAAGACTTGGAACCAACCCAAATGCCCATCAATGTGAGACTGGATTAAGAAAATGTGGCACATATTCACCGTGGAATGCTATGCAGTCATAAAAAAGGATGAGTTCATGTCCTTTGCAGGGACATGGATGAAGCTGGAAACCATCATTCTCAGCAAACTAACACAGGAAAGAAAACAAAACACCACATGTTCTCATTCATAAGTGGGAGTTGAACAATGAGAACACATGGACACAGGGAGAGGAACATCACACACTGGGGCCTATCGGGGGGTGGGGGGCTAGGGGAGGGATAGCATTAGGAGAAATACCTAACGTAGATGACGGGTTGATGGGTGCAGCAAACCACCATGGCACGTGTATACCTATGTAACAAACCTGCGCATTCTGCACATGTATCCCAGAACTTAAAGTAAAATTTTACAAAAAAGAAAGAAAGAAAGAAATCGTGAAAAGGGAAATAGAAATCTTAGAATGATAAAACCAGACTTTCCAAGACTGGATAAACAAATTGTGGTATAAAACATACCATAAAATACTATTAAGCAGTTAAATTTAATAAACTAGAGTTATATGTGTCAACATTAGTAATATTGAGATAAATATTGCTGAGAAAAAATTGCACAGACACATCTAGCTTAATACCATTTATTTAAAAAATTTAAATATGCAACACTATAAATTATTTAAAGAAACATACACATACTAAAAGTGTATTAATCACACCTACTTCTAAATGGGGAAGGGAGTAGAAGAGAATGGGGCTGGGTCACAAAAAGGCTTTTACTCTATGCAAATAAATCAATGTTGGCCTTGATTAACACTGGGTAGTGAGTATGAACATTTGTTAAATTATCTTTTTTACTTTTCTGTATATTTTAAATACTTACTTTAAAAAGTCAATTCTGTCTACTGGTCTGTGTATTAGAAAACCTAGTTTCTAGTTACTGTCCTATCACTGGCAAATTATATGACCTCAGGCAAA